>NC_000001.11:231638667-231790182 GCF_000001405.40 Homo sapiens | reverse complement strand
GCAGCAGCAGGTCCAACAGAAAACACGGCACTCTTTTGTTTTCTTCAGACTGACGGTTTCTTTTCAATCTGCCCAACTGGGAGACTGTGGGCTGCTACAATAAACGTGTGTAGAACATTACCATTCTTGTCTATAGTTTAGGAGCTAAGTATTATGAATGGTGGCTCTAAGAAAATGTTATGTGAGAATGTCTTTGATTTTTAAAAATGATTATTATGGATTTTTAAAAATCATTTTTAAAAATGATTACGGATTATGATTTTAAAATTATTATTTAAAAATGATTCATTAGAAATGAAAAAGGGCTCCCTTCAATACTCTTGCAATATCACAAACAGAATGCAACCACTGATGTCAAAAATATGAGTAATAAAAATTCAATCTTGGGGGACAGATTGCTTTTCAGCCGTAATTAGAAGGGCAAATGGAATTTAAGTCAATAACAGTCACTAATCTAGATAATACAAGCCAAGACTTGGTCAAGGGCCAGAATGAGACATTTATACAGGAGGAGACAGCCAGGCAATTTTGGTTCAATGACTTGGGAGTGAGAAACTATTCTAAAGATAACTGATCTGACCAAAGAACTGTCTCTACTTCTACCACTCTGCTCCAAGCCACGGGCACCTCTCCTCTGAAATGCTGCAATCGTCTCTGAACAGTTCTTCTGCGTTCACCCTCACTCCTCTACAGTCTGTTCTTGAGATGTAGCCAGGGTGAGCCTTCACAAGCATGTCAAATAAAATGCCACTACTCACTCCATCACACCTGAGTCGAGCCAAGTCTGCAAGGGCCTATATGGCCCATCTCTCATCTCGTCTCTTACCTCCTCTCCTACAGCTCCCTTCTTTGCTTACTCCACCCTGGCCACAGAGGCCTCCTGACAGCTCCTCAAATCTGCTGTGGCTGGTGCAGGGTCCACTGCCTTGACCTTCTGCCCCAGCACACATAATGGGCCAACCCCCTCCCACCTGCAAGTCTTTGCTCACCTCTGACCCTCTCAGTGAGGCTGGCCTGACTACTCCATTGACAGCTGTAAATTTCACATCCACTCGTCTTCCACCCCAATCCCCAGGTCATGTTCATTTTCTACTAACCTACATGTAACTTACTAATTTATTATGTTTGTTATTTATTTCTGCCTTTTACTACTAGAAAAAGAATTTCATGTGGGCAAGGATTTTTGGAGAAGTACTTGAAGTGTTTGGTACACAGTGTGTACCTAATCAGTATTTGATTAATGAACAATACTCACATTCTTGTCTTCTAAGAAATAAGTGGGGTGGGGTGGGGTGGGGTGGAAGCATCCTCACCTCTGCTAGAGGCACACTCAAACCACAGGATGGGGAGCGGCTCCATCTTTATCCCCATTTCCCACCACTGCCCCCTCAGGATCAGGGATTAAAGGCTGCAGCTGCTCTTGACTGTATGGCTGGGGTGAAGCTTTGCATGACAGAGAAAGAGGTTAAAAACTTGGAGTCAACTCATGAGATGTCCTCTCTTCTTTTTAAATTGCATCTCTCAGAAGTCTTACTCTCTGGTTTATCTCTGTTAGAGGGTTTCCTTTCATGGGCTATATTACGTGTTGAATTGTGTTCTCCACAAAATTCGTATGTTGATGTCCTGACCTCCATACCTCAGAATGTGACTGCAGTTGGAAATAGGGTTGTTGCAAATGTACTTTGAGTTAAGATCAACCATACTCCGACATGACTGGTGTCCTTATAAAAGGGGAAATGTGGATTCGGGGACATGCATAGAGGGAAGATGATATAAAAAGACACAGGGAGAAAATGATCATCTACAAGCCAAGGAGAGATACAGATCCTTCCCTAACAGTCCCCAGAAGGAAGCAACCCTGCTGACACCTTGATTCTTGGACTTTTTTTGTTTTTTCTGAGATGGAGTCTCACTCTGTCACCCAGGCTGGAGTGCAGTGGTGTGATCTCAGCTCACTGCAACCTCCACCTTCTGGGTTCAAGCGATTCTCCTGCCTCAGCCTCCCAAGTAGCTCAATTACAGGCCTGCGCCAGCACACCCAGCTAATTTTTTTGGTATTTTTAGTAGAAATGGGGTTTCACCATATTATCCAGACTGGTCTCAAACTCCTGACCTCAAGTGATCCACCCACCTCAGCCTTCCAGAGTGCTGGGATTACAGGCATGAGCCACTGCGCCCGGCTGATTCTTGGACTTCTGGACATGATGAATTTCTGTATTTAAGCCAGGTGGCTGTGGTGCTACTTTATTATGGCAGCAAACTAATACAGGCTGGCATGGGAAGGAAGACAATGTGGAGGGTCACTCATTCCTGCCTCTTAGAATGGCAAGAGCTAGAAGTCTGGAAGTGAGGTGTAGGCCTGGGCAAAGGGCACCAGTGGTCTCATCTGGGAGCCTGCCTCTAGCAAGTGCCAGATGAGTTCTCACTGCCAACATGCTGCCAAGATCAGAAGATGGCTCCAAAAATTCAGAGTGATTGTGCTTAGAGCATCTTGCTCATCTTTCTCAAAAACCTATAGCTATTGCTATAATGTCAATGTGTCCTCCAGAATTCACGTGTCGGAAACTTAATTCCCAAGGCAACCGTGTCGAGAGGCGGGACCTTTAAGAAATGATTAGGTTACCAGGAATCTGCCCTCATGAATGAATTGATATCATTACTGGGGGAGTGGGTTCCTGACAAAAGGGTGAGGTTGGTCCCCTCCCCTTCTCTGTCTCTCTCTTTCTCTCTCTGTCTCTCTCTCTCCAGCGCTCTCTCTAGCACACATGCTCTCACTCTCACTCTCTCTTTCCCTCTCTCTCTCTCTTGCCCTTCTGCTTCCTGCCATGGGATGATGCAGTAAGAAGGTCCTTGCCAGATGCAAGCCCCTCAACCTTGGACTTCCAAGCCTCCAGAAGTGTAAGAAATAAATCTCCTCTCTTTATAAATTACTCAGTCTGTAGTAACAAAATGGACTAAGACAGCTGCATTGGGCATCTATTTGGTTAGAGAATCCCATGCCCCAATCTAACAGCAACTAACAACTATTTACTTGGTTTCTCCAGATCCTGTCCCTTAGGGAGGCCTATCTCAAGAGCCTTAGAACATACTTAAATCCACACCCTCTCTTAGTAATACTTCCAATACTTGCTTTAGATCCAGGCAAAAGAACGCCTTCCTTGCTCTCTGCCACATTAGAGGGCTCTGTCCTGATCCTCCTTATCCTTGAGGGGAAGGGTAAATGGGGCGCCAAAGGTACATGCCACCCAAAGCTGGTTCAGGCAGCCAAAACGAGAAGTGCCTTCCTGAAGAGCCAGGAGGCTGCATCCTGCCAGGGCCTCTTCTCAGAGCACTGCTCCCAAGGGTGGACGCAGTGCAGTGGGCATACCTCTAGGCCCAAGCAGTAGTCGAGCACAGGCTACCTTGAAGGGTGTAGATATTACCTGGGCATACAGGCTAGGTCCCCATATAAAACCTACCATGGTGTGGGACAGGTGCAAGGGTAGGAAGACAAGGTGGGAAGTTCCATTTGACCCCTTACTCTGGGACACAATGTCAGGCAGGCCTGGATAGACCCCTTTAATATTATATCCTAAAGAAACCACCTCTCATTCCATACAATCTTTGGTAGTTTATTACCAGTTCCTCGTACCACCAGTAACCCAGCCATAACCACCTTAGCACCTGGCACTGGAGGCAAAGCCTTGGCTCTCAGCATTAGAGGCACATCCAAGGTGACAACAACACACCTGCCCCAAAGATGAGCCTTTGAAGAACAAACTCTGTTCCTGTTCTTATCTGGACCTCTGCAGAAAAAGAATATTAACGACACTTAGAGAATTACACCACTACCCCACTAACTTTCTGCAAGACTTTGAACAAGTCACTTTCATCTGGGGCTCCATCTTCTCAGTTGCAAAATGAGGAAGTTGGACTAAATTATTTCTAAAATCCTTCCAGGTCTACTATCCCATATTCTTTAACTGCTCTATCATTCAAAAATCTTTTACTAGCCTTTTTTATTTTTAGATATTTAGAGAATCTAAAAAACACAAAGGTTTTATAAAGTGCCAGATAACATTGATAATAGAGACAGAAATATACAGGAGACACATGTTGTTTTTCACTCTATAATAGAGTAATAGAGACAGAAATATACAGAATATATTAGATGAGACAGAAATATAATAGATAATAGAGATATATTAGATATTAGAAATATAAAATAGAGACAAATATACAGGAGATACATGTCATTTTTTACACTAAGTGAGGGATGTGTTTTTCAGCTAGGAAGCTAACTGTGCAAACGGCCTGCTCCCTGCAGACAGTTGTCCGCTCATCTTCCTGCCTGTGTATATGAGGCTTTATGCTGAAGTTCCACTTTAGCAAAAAGCTACAGGAGATGAGAAATTCAATTTTATCTCTGCACAGCCTTCTCTCTACCCTCTCCCTACATTCCCTATCCCATCCCCTGTTTCTTGTTTTGTAAAACTCAGTTTAAGAATGAGAGATTATTACTAAAGCAAACTACAAATGATGGAAAGAGCAAAATGACAGCTATCTTAGCACAGGCGCCACTTGGGCCTTTAATGAAAACACACTCACACAGCCAGGTATGGTGGATCACGTCTGTAACCCATGCACTTTGGGAGGCCAAGATGGGCAGATCACTTGAGCGCGGGAGTTCAAGACCAGCCTGGACAATATGGTGAAAACCCGTCTCTACCAAAATAATAATAATAATAATACAAAAATTAGCCAAGTATGGTGGCATGTGTCTGTGGTCCCAGCTACTCGAGAGGCTGAGGTGGGAGTATTCCTTGAGTGCAGGAGGCTGAGGCTACAGTGAGCTATGATCGCACCACTGCACTCCAGCCTGGGTGACAAAGCAAGACTTTGTCTCTAAATAAATAAATAAATAAATAAATAAATAAATAAATAAAATAACACACACACACACACACACACACACACACACAGACAAATCTGTTGACATTAACAACCTTGCCAATGACTGCTCAGTCCCCTCACCTTCTGTCAGAGGGCAAGTGGATAACAAAATGACTGTGGAAACAGCTTTAGGAAATTCATGTTTATCTACTTGGCCTTTTTCTTTCCTTAGACCCTTCTATCCTCACAGCTGATAATGTCACATGGCACCCATCGGACATTCATGGAGCACAGAGGCACAAACGCCATGAATTCCTCTAGACTTCAGATGATCTTGTAAAGGCACAACAGGGTACATAAATTCATCAGAAGCAAGCCATTCTACATGGCTATAAAAATGACTCAAGCTGGTTATCTGAGACCTTTACTTCTGGGAAAGCCAGTGTGGTGCAGTGGAGAGAGATCTGAGCTGAGAGGTAGGAGCACCAGGGCCTCTGCTTGCCATCCTTGCCACCTTTGGCAAAGCACATTATCTCTTTCCAGTTCGGTGGTGGCTGAAGCCAGAGAGTTTGCTGGACTCAAGCCAGACACTCACCTTCGTGCTCACCAACTAGCTCATCTTTTGAGGATCATGGGAGGAATAAAGTATAGAAAGACCATTTCATAAATCATGCAGACATATACCATACCTGGATTATAGTAAGAAAATATTTTAGAGTAATCTGACCAAAATCAGGCACATAAATTTTTAACAAGGGTGGAATAAATATATTTAGAGTTTTTCTCTCTGGCCAAGGCTAAGGACATTAAGTAAAAGAACCAAAGAAAACTAGGCCAGGGAAATACTTGAACGTTTAGTTATTTGACTCTTTCTCTGAATATACATCACATCATGACTCACATTCTCCCTATTTCTCTGAATTTCAAGGATACTGTGTCTTCCACTAGGATGCTACACTCTGATATTCTGAGTCCTTTTAGTAAAGTACAACTTCTCCAAATAACTCAGCAAACTGAAAATGAGGTGTCACTTTTTTTTTTTTTTTTTGAGACGGAGTCTCGCTCTGTCACCCAGGCTGGAGTGCAATGGTGCGATCTCGGTTTACTGCAACCTCTGCCTCCCGGGTTCAAGCGATTGTACTGCCTCAGCCTCCTGAGTAGCTGGGATTACAGGTGCGCACCACCATGCCCGGATAATTTTTGCATTTTTAGTAGAGACAGGGTTTCACCATGTTGGGACAGGCTGGTCTCAAACTCCTGACCTCGTGATCTGCCCACCTTGGCCTCCCAAAGTGTTGGGATTACAGGCGTGAGCCACTGTGCCCGGCCGATGTCACATTTTATAAGACCATGAACCCTTTTTAATAAGATGCACCCATGTAACTCATATCATAAGGGATAATGGAGGGAGAAAGGGAGAGAAAAAAATGAACGTAAGGATTTCTGATCTTTTCTTGGAAAAGATTTCCTGTGATCGAGGTGCTGATGCGAAGGCAGTGAGCAGAGGAAAGGAGTAAGCCCTAATAGTGAATTTGCTGAACTTTCCAAATTGGCACATATGAGTAAGGTAGCACACACACGCGTTCACACCCTCACCCCGTGCCATCTCTTGCAGGTCCCCAGGCTTACTGGGAAGCTCTGCCTGACATCACAACATCACAGCATGCATTGAAGTCCAGTTTCATCAAAAATCACAGCTTTATTTTTAACTGATGAACTTGGTATTTGGCTTATCCAAATACTCCAAGTATTAATTCAACCAGATCTTTCTCATTGCCTCAAACAATCTTATTCCAAACTGAAACTGTAATTCATGTGCCAAAAACATTTTGACTTACAGACATTTGTCTGTAGGAGATTTTGGTGGTTTAATAATGAAAAAATGAGAACAGGAATCAGAAATATGAACAGCCTTATGTTCAGATCATAATCATTCTCCTTTCTACCCCTTCCTCACAAGTTCTTTAATGATTCTTTTTTACAATAATAAGGAAATAAATTACCAGCCTCTTATTTTTGGAGACTGGTAATCAAGTCAGCTCCATATTTTCAACTATTCTCATAACCACGATGTATTTAAATGTCCAAACAAGATTTCAGTACTTGGGCTCTAGAGCTTTCCCCCACCCCCAAAAACTCAAGTGAGTTCAACCCATTAAATACAACAATTTGATCTAAGGGGAAAATGATACTACATCCAGGCTTATTCTGTTACGTGATCCAAAGGCAACTTCATATTTCCATTTCAATTACTACCCTCCCTTTATTCTGATTATTTAATAAGTAATGTCCAGTTGCTCCCATGGGAACAACTGAGTTTTTAAATAAATACCCAGAACTGCTTGCATTTATTTATTTATTTATATTTTTTGAGACAGTCTTGCTCTGTCACCCAGGCTGGAGTAGAGTGACACGATCTCCACTCACTGCAACCTCCACCTCCCATGTTCAAGTGACTCTCCCACCTCAGCCTCCCGAGTAGCTGGAACTACACAGACGTGCCACCACAGCCGGCTAATTTTTGTATTTTTTTTTGGTAGAGACGGGGTTTTGCCATGTTGGCCAGGTTGCTCTGAAACGCCTGACCTCAAGTGATCCTCCCACCTCGGCCTCCCAAAGTCCTGGGATTACAGACATGAGCCACTGTGCCCAGCCATTTGCATTTATATTTAATACTAATTTTTAAAATATATTCTTGCTTCTCCTAAATTTCTAAGTATTTATATTTTCCATAACTGTAAAGTTTGCCAAAAACGTTGTACTTTCTGCTGTGGGTTTATTCTTCTTTTCTGAATCATCTTTAATTAACTGGCGTCTGGCTAAGAATAAGCATATGCACAGCTCAAGTCTGCAGAGACAATTTTAACCTCACATTTCTCTCAAGCATCTCTCAAAATCTGTTGACAAAGCAACAGATCAGCCTGATTCCTAAAACTGGGGAATATTGTCGATTTCATTTCCTAAAATGTTTCTGTGGGTAAACTAAAGATGGACATACTTTATTGGATAAGAAAGGCAAAAATAGACCACTGGTGAACAAAATGAATTAACAGTAGGAAAAAAATCCAGTTGACTAAAGGAGAAATTGCATAAAGAATCCAAACACCAATATCAACATGACTCAAAGAGGAAGCTGAGGAAATTTGCCAAAGAGGAAGTACAAAATAGTAATGACAATGAAAGTCAAGATGAATGTTTAACAACGATCTCTATATAAGACACAGCACCCCCCACTGAAAGCAGCTACAGGAAATCTAGAGGTTCTGTCTGGCTTTGCTTTGGGTCATCTTAGCAGCCTAGCTATCAGCACAGGGTAGATTAATCACCCTTCCACAGCTCGAAAAAGGTGTGCTCTTAACTGATTAAATTCTCAGCAAGCAATGAGCTGGTATTTCCAACCTGGGGATATTCCCAGCAGTCACTGGAGAAGGGTCTATCTGAGCAGAGCTAAATTACCTTCTGCTGGAAGATTCCAAAACTTCTGCTCTTCTCCCAGAGTTTCAGCTCAAGGTCTGAAGAAGAGTTTAGCCTGACATACTAAATTAACATCTGAAAAGTTAAAGCAGGGAATAGTAACATACAACTTACAAAAAGGAAAGAATAAGAGAATTTGATAAAGGGAACAGAAGATTGCAAAAGACATGTAAATTACAGAGAAATTAAGTACAGAACGGTTCTCAAGGTGATAATAATGGAAACTAAAAGTTGAAATCGACTAGGAGAAAGACTTAAAATAGGTCACATGCTTTCATGTTTGTGAGAGTTGACTTGCAGCTGCAATATTAGAACTAGCTATGATCATTCTAAAATGACTATCTCTCATCTTTGATAATCCATGGGGCTCCAGTTGAAAATAATTAATCTAATGCCTAAATTATATAAAAGAGAAATGGATGAGTCTACAAATCACAAGCCTCCAAAGAGCTACCTAAACAATAATAATACTAAGAATAATAGACTCATGTTGTAAGCTTCTTAAAGAAAACAAGCCCAGAGAATTTGTAAAATATTAAAATACATTATAAAATACATATCCATTTTTTCACCCTCCTTTGTTCTGTTATTCAAAAATCATCGTAAATGTTACTGTAGCACAAAATAAAGTCTTTTTTTTTTTTCCTGAGGCTGCATTTCTTTTTTTTTTTTTTTTAATTATACTTTAAGTTTTAGGGTACATGTGCACATTGTGCAGGTTAGTTACATATATATACATGTGCCATGCTGGTGCGCTGAACCCACTAACCGTCATCTAGCATTAGGTATATCTCCAGATGCTATCCCTCCCCCCTCCCCCCACCCCACAACAGTCCCCAGAGTGTGATATTCCCCTTCCTGTGTCCATGTGATCTCATTGTTCAATTCCCACCTATGAGTGAGAATATGCGGTGTTTGGTTTTTTGTTCTTGTGATAGTTTACTGAGAATGATGATTTCCAATTTCATCCATGTCCCTACAAAGGACATGAACTCATCATTTTTTATGGCTGCATAGTATTCCATGGTGTATATGTGCCACATTTTCTTAATCCAGTCTATCATTGATGGACATCTGGGTTGGTTCCAAGTCTTTGCTATTGTGAATAATGCCGCAATAAACATACGTGTGCATGTGTCTTTATAGCAGCATGATTTATAGTCCTTTGGGTATATACCCAGTAATGGGATGGCTGGGTCAAATGGTATTTCCAGTTCTAGATCCCTGAGGAATCGCCACACTGACTTCCACAATGGTTGAACTAGTTTACAGTCCCACCAACAGTGTAAAAGTGTTCCTATTTCTCCACATCCTCTCCAGCACCTGTTGTTTCCTGACTTTTTAATGATTGCCATTCTAACTGGTGTGAGATGGTATCTCATTGTGGTTTTGATTTGCATTTCTCTGATGGCCAGTGATGGTGAGCATTTTTTCATGTGTTAATAAAGTCTTTTTTTACATCTGCAAGTAAAACAGAATTCCTCCCTTGAGTTTCTCAAATATAGCCTGTTAACTTAAAAATCACACAATTTATCAATTTAGAAAGGAGAGCTTTATTTCTTTTTTTTTTCATTCTTTCCTTTTCTTTTTTTTTTTTTTATTATACTTTAAGTTTTAGGGTACATGTGCACATTGTGCAGGTTAGTTACATATTTATACATGTGCCATGCTGGTGCACTGCACCCACTAACTCGTCATCTAGCATTAGGTATATCTCCCAATGCTATCCCTCGCCCCTCCCCCCAGCCCACAACAGTCCCCAGAGTGTGATATTCCCCTTCCTGTGTCCATGTGACCTCATTGTTCACTTCCCACCTATGAGTGAGAATATGGAGAGCTTTATTTCTTAAAAGGGGGTTACAGCCTGCAAGGTTGCCATTCTAACAGGCTGGGAAGCATAGCCTCCGGCAGAAGCCATTAGCAGGCACTTTAAGGGAGGGACAGGTAAGACAGGAATTTACACAGAATAGGTTGACCAAGGCCGGCAGGGTGGCTCACGCTTGTAATCCCAGCACTTTGGGAGACCGAGGCAGGTGGATCACGAGGTCAGGAGATTGAGACCATCCTGGCTAACACGGTGAAACCCCATCTCTACTAAAAATACAAAAAATTAGCCGGGCGTGGTGGCCGGTGCCTGTAGTCCCAGCTACTCCGGCGGCTGAGGCAGGAGAATGGCGTGAACCCGGGAAGTGGAGCTTGCAGTGAGCTGAGATGCACCACCGCACTGCAGCCTGGGCGACAGAGCGAGACTCCATCTTAAAAAAAAAAAAAAAAAAAAAAAAAAAAACAAGAATAGGTTGACCAAGTATACATATTCCACAGGTTATAGCAGGAGCTATGAATATTCATGAAGGTGGTCCTAATGCATGCATACTGAATAAGCATACATGTTATATACAACTTATGTTCACCTTAGGGTGGAGACTTAACATTTACATGTATTACAATTAGGCCCTCTATGTAAAAGGTCTTTTCAGAACACAAAGGCACTCAAGTGTCTCTAAATAGGCCAGAAGCAGTCCACAGTTGGTCTTTGTATCAGAAGAAAGTTACTGAAATCAGTCTCTTTTCTAATGAAAGCTGCAGTTACAGCTGGTGGAACAGAGAGTCAGTCAGTCAGCATCTGGCGGTGCAAGGACTGCCATGGTTTTAAGATAGCTCATCTCTAGGACAGTGCTCGTTTAGCCGCTAGAGAAAAAGAAAACCCAGGTGGCAGTCAGAAGGTAGTTTACTCTTTAGGTGCAGGGGTGTGAGACTTATCCCTGCCTGGCATGGCCTTAGGTCTTGTTTATAATTTGGTATCTTATTGCCACCGAGAGTCTGTTCCATCAGTTCTTATGATCTCGTTTTAGCATTGATGCTGCTCTGTTGTTATGTCTAAGCTACAAAAGGGAGGGATTATAACAAGGCAAATCCGACCTCCCGGCCCACTGGGGCTGGGAACTCAGTTTGTATGGAGTCTCTGGGGTCTCCTTGGCCAAGAGGGAATCCGTTCAGTGGTTGGGGGCTTAAGATTTTATTTTTAATTTACAACGCAATGAAAACTGGAAATGGGGGTCCTGTTTTATTGGGAACCTACATTTCCTGGTGAGCAGCATCTGTACCCAGCCAGATAAGGGGGATTTTCAAATCTCTTCCTTCTTTTCCAATCCTCTTCCTCCTTTACCAGATTATAGTCTGGTAAACTTTTCCACGTTGCCTGTAATGACGACTTTCCAGAAGAAAACGGGAGGATATACAATGGTGAGGCGAGGTCTAAGCTCTGAGCTGCAGCAGCAGTGCTTGGAAAGCAGGCTTTGCTCAGGTCCATGCTCTAGGGACCAGCCCTAAGGAAAGTGCCAGCTGGAGCACCGTGGCCTGTGGATGGTCACAGCCTGCCCAGGGAACTTTAAGGAGGAACTTAACATAGAGCTCCTAGGAATAGAATTATGAGGGGTTTTTAGGCAGCTTATTTTAACTTATTTCATAAAATACTAAAGTGCAAAGTATTGTAGAACCAGAAAAGACCTTCCACGCCACCCAGTTCAAACCCTCTTTTCACAGACAAGTAATACCAGTTCCTCTAGCCCTGGGGCGGGGCCTTGCTTTCCAGTTTCTCTTCCTCTCACATTTCTTTCTTTGGAACGTCTGACAGACCTCTCTGACTTGAGACAGTTGCCTGTTTGGTCTTCCCAGGCTGTCTATTTTTAGATACACCTTGGCTCCAATCCAATCAGGCAACACTAGGCACACAGAGACAACCATCCCTGGCCTGGAGGGACATCCATTCTCTTTTCCTTGGGCCCACAGACCCACGGCTCTGCTGGGCTGGACTTCTTTCCATTGCTGGACTAAGCACTCTGTCCAAGGCCTGGTCTCTCCCAGGCCATCAGTGTGAACCATCTCTGGATTCCCTCTGCATTAAAAATTCGCCAAAGACGTGAGGGCACTGCTTTTACGGCTGTGTGAACTTGGACCCTCAGCAGCCTCATCTGCAAAATGGGCATAAAAACAATATATTGCCCAACAAACCTTATAGGGTTATTGTAAGCAAGTATGACAGTTTGTAAATAACAGAGATATTAAAATTAGTGTATGAGTATCAACACCAGTCTAACTAAGAAGGACAGACAGGATAAATTTGAGTGGAGAGGGCACACCTGCAGGGAGGTCCTGAATGCTGCAGATGTCGCCTATGCAGGGAAGCCTCACTCCGGGCACCCATCTGGCCAGCATTGCTCACACACTTCTGTCTCACTGCATTTGCTGTCTTGGCAAATATTTTTCTGCCTCATGAATTCCTGAGAAAAGCAAGATGTCTACTTTACTTAAAAAGGGGAGTAGGGGGAAAAGAAAACCCTGTAATCCCAGTGACCCAGGAGGCTGAGGTGGAAAGATCACTTGAGGACAGGAGTTCAAGTCTAACCTGGCAACATAGCAAGACCCCCATCTCTATAAAAAATTAAAAAATTAGCCTGGCATGGTGACATGCACCTATAATCCTAGCACTTGGAAGGCTGAGGCAGGAGGATCACTTGAGCTCAGGAGTAAAATGCTGCAATGAGCCATGATCATACCACTGTACTCCAGCCTGTGGGACAGAGGGAAACCCCATCTCTAAAAAAGAGAGAAAAGTCCTTACCAAAAAAAAGAGGGGGAAAATCAGAATTTCCTAGAAAAATGCAAAGCTCTCCTCTTTCTCCAGATGATGTCTAATGCTCTCAGTCCCATAAAGCCATTGTCTTGGCAAACCAGTCAGGTAGAAGGCAAAGACAGAGGAGAGAGAAAGACAAAGCCCAGAAGTGGAGATTAAAGAACAACAATCTTCACGAATGGAAAAGCAGCTTGGAGACTGCTGATATGCTGCAGGGATATTCTCTGCAGTCTGTGCGTGACTCCAGTTTGGTGGCTGCCTCGCACTACCCCCGGGGCAAGAGCATTAATGGGACCCCTCCCACACAGCTGCTTCCACGCAACCCTCTTTGAGAATCTCTACCAGGATCCTAGATTCAGGATCAGTTTTCCAATTCAGGCCTTGCTGTTTCACTGTCTCCTCACTCTAATAAGATATGTTTCTGAGGGAAAAGAGGAACTATTGATTTTTTTTTCCCATTCAGTTGTGAGCTGGTGAATTACATTATTTCAAATCTCACTTGCAAGGAGGACTGACATCAGCAGGGACTGCATGTTGTGGACTGAGCACAGGTGTGATGAGGATGCCTGCAGCACCCTGCATAATCAGTGCCCCCCGCCAGGGAGCCCTGGGCAGTTTAGCTAGTGGCTGGGGGCATGGATACTGCAGAAGGCCTGGCTCCTCTCCACCCGCGAGCCTCCCCAGCCCAGCCCTGCCGCGAGGCTCCCAGACTCTCCAACCAAGGCCCAGCCAGCCCTCCTGTAACCAGGGGTTGAGTTTGTTTCACACTTTGTGCCAATGGTTTGCAAAAGATGTGACATGTTTCTTCCAAATGCACAACAAGCGACAATTCATCCATGAGCTGCCAGAACACATTTCACATGAAGCATGAAAAATCCGAGGAGCTGAGGAATGAAGAACTCAACCCCAGATGAATACAAGCCAGTCAAGCATTTCTAAAGAATGTTAGAAAGCATCCTAGGCAGCCCTCCACGTCATCACTGTGATTATTACTATAATTATTCCTCCCTCACTTTGCCGTTAGCCATATGCATGCTACATGAGGTCACAGGCTGCCCTCCCCTGGTTTTCCAGACACATAAAACCAACAAGAAGCCAGGGGAGGCTGAGCTAATGGTGCTAGACAGAGAGGAGCTGCAAATCACCATTCTCCTCAATTTACGCCAAATAAATAGATGGAACCTCATGCCCACATGGAGGGATGTGATCCACAGAAAATCTTGGACACTGTCACCTCCTCCCTGTGTCCCCCATCTTTTCCCTCTCCTCCCTCCCCCACCCCCACATCACAATCCCATTACAGAGAATGGGAATGCAGTCAGCAGGGGGTAGAACAAGAACCATGGGTTTCGTGTGGGAGAAGAACCAAGCTCACTGGGTAAAAGTGGTTCTTCTAAGACCCTCACATCAAAGGAAGACTTGCAGGAGAAAACAAGGCACTTGTTTTAAAGCAGGGGGGTTGAAATCCCAGGGATGAGAGAAATTCAAATGAACATATCTTTTAAGTGGTTCCTGTCCTTTCATGCACCCCTGCTCTGTCAGCTTCCATACTGTGGAGCTCCTCATTCTCCAGTGCTTAAAAAGGGTTCTCCTTTTGTTCACTGGAAGAAAACCATTTTTGTTGGCTCTACTCAAAAAGTGTCTATGATGTCTCTGGGATGGTAACACTTCATCTCCTCCTGCTAAGTTATTTGATCCAGAACACAGACATTGGAAAATTCAAATGGCTTCTTTGATTTCTGTTATCACACCCAAACCGAAAATCACTGGGTGTCCTTGACCCCAGCACATGCCCTCTACTTCCAGCCCATCTCTGACATTGGCCAGGGGGTTCCCAACAAGCCACAGTCAGAAACGATGGCCTCCATGTAAGCACGTAAGTCTCCACCAGTGATACATCCAGAAATGTCACATGCTATTAGGAAGTTTCTTTTCAAGTTGTTGGGTCGTTGTCCACGAAACAAAGCATATTGCAATTGCATGTTAGAAAGTTGAGTAAATTACAAACAGACAGCACCCTGAGTTTGTATCTGGCCTCTATGAAAATCCTTATAGATGATGATAACAGTCGTGATGTTGAGTGATCTGTTTCTCTAGGTTTTGTAACAATACTAGTCTCTGCAACTTCTCTTTATAAGACTTCAAGGTTTTCCTGTTTCACAATTTGTCTGGCTCTCTCCATCTGGCCTAAGAAGAGCCTATTCTCATGAACAATGAAGGCAGCTATTGATGTATGTAAGATGGGTTCATTTGGCTAAATATACCTACTGGATATTATCCCTAAGTCAGCATTTTCTAAAAGACAACCAATACTTCATAGCAAAAATTAGGTTAACAGGATCATGTCCAATTAGTTAAAAATACTAGACCAAGCAATCTCTCTGACCTGTTGAGCCAGCTGGTTCTACACTGGTTTCTTTCAAATGCTTCACTTCTGCAGATCCATGCTGCAGCCCATCAGCTTGGAAAAGACATATCTTCCTTCTCAAATGGAAAGCCCAAATATTGATGACGGGTTTCTCTAGTTGATGGTTACGGCAGGGAGCAGTCTGATGCCTCACCTCCCTACGGTGGAAGAAAGGAAGCTGACCAATCAAAGTGTGCACCTACACAGCCCACACTGCCCTCCAGATGCGGCGATACCTCCCTGCACCTCAAAGTAAATTAGACTGATGCCAAGGATCACCTCTTGAGAATCACCCAG
This sequence comes from Homo sapiens, assembly GCF_000001405.40. NCBI lineage: Eukaryota > Metazoa > Chordata > Mammalia > Primates > Hominidae > Homo > Homo sapiens. The sequence continues at coordinate 231,774,499 of NC_000001.11, read as the reverse complement.
ATAATGAGGATGTCTCAGGGTGGCCACACTCCAGCCACACAAAACTCCAGCCAGTGCTGATGGCCTCTGCTCACCATGAGTGTTCCATGCTGCAGGCACCTGTATAACTTCCTTATCGCAGGAGAAAAAGGTCATGTTATTAACTAGTCATTAGATTGTCCAGGTTTTTTGTACCTTTTAACTGCTCTGGTTTATTCCTACCCTCCCATGAAACTCTTCGTCCTTACATTCCTTTTTTTTTTCTTTGAGTCAGGGTCTTGCTCTGTTGCCCTGGCTGGACTGCAGTGGCACAATCATAGTTCACTGTAATCTCGAACTCCAGGGCTTGAGCAACCTTCCTGCCTCAGCCTCCCGAGTAGCTAGGACTACAAGTACACTCAATCATGCCTGGCTAATTTTTTTTATTTTTATTTTTTTATTTTTGTAGAGATTAGGTGTCAAATTCCTGGACTCAAGCATTCTTCCCGCCTTGGCCTCCCAAAGTGCTGGGATTATAGGTGTGAGCCACTGTTCCCAGCCTCATCCTTACATTCCCAAGATCTCCTCCTACATGAAGCCTTCATGGTTTCTGAAAGTCCTTGAGATACCCAGGTTTTCCTATAGTCACCTCAGCACAAAAACGTGGCAGCCTGTTCTTGACCTGACCTCTGTAATCTCAGTGGGAATGTTCGGATTGGGGATGGTGGATTCTCCCAGAGGACCCCACAGACAGCAGTGCCCCATGTTCAAGATCATCCTCATATATAATTTCCCTAACAGCATCATAAAATCAGAGAGCCACAACTTTTGAAATGCCTTTCAAGAACCTATCCAATTGGCTGGGCGCAGTGGCTCACGCCTGTAATCTCAGCACTTTGGGAGGCCAAGGAGGGCAGATCATGAGGTCAGGAAATTAAGACCATCCTGGCTAACATGGTGAAACCCTGTCTCTACTAAAAATACAAAAAATTAGCTGGGTGTGCTGGCACAAGCCTGTAGTCCCAGCTACTCAGGAGGCTGAGGCAGGAAAATCGCTTGAACCTGGGAGGCGGAGGTTGCAGTGAGCCGAGATCGCACCACTGCACTCCAGCCTGGGTGACAGAGAGAGACTCTATCTCAAAACATACAAACAAACAAACAAACAAATAAAAACCTATCAAAGCACTAGATTACTCAGTAAAAGTCACACATTCATGCCTTCTCTGTGACTCATCCTGATTAAAAGGCAAACCAGAGGATACAGGTAGAAAACCAGACCAAGTCCTGGGCTCAGTTCTATCAGCCAACCACACTGTGGAGCTCCTAGTTTTAGATGAGGAAAGAGAATTAGTCATAGAAATAGCTTCCTTGGCTCTCTGGAAGGAAACCATCTTTTATTGATTCAGGCCCAAAGACAGCCATAGTTGTACACAAGATGGTCTCTTACTAGCTACATCATCAGGGAAACTTTCTGAGTTTTTGATTCCTCAGTTGCAAAATGAGAACATAACAGCCTACCCACCACACCAAGGCAATAGCTGAAGAATGGTTCTGAAAGTGCAGGTGGGAGAGAACAAGCTGTATTCAAGGGACCCGTTTCATTTGGATGAAAACCGGCAACAATCCAAATCTCTTCCCCCTCTCCATGGGCATGAGCCATGGAGAGTTCTGCCTGGAAATATTCGGGATAGAAGGGGAATGGGAGGAGATCTTAAGTAACTCCCTAGAATAGCATGTGCCGCTTGCTTTTATAGGCTGGATAGGATGTGATACATGTGGAAGACAGAACAGTCGTTCACTAAATACAGTAAGATATATTTGGACGGGTAGTTTGAAGGCCTTCAGAAGACTGAAATTTCCATTGTAAAGACGACGACTGGAAGCACAATAAAGTGCTTAGTACCATCCAGGCTCTGCTGAGAGTTTTCTATGTACTACCTCGGTTCATCCATGTGATAGCTCTATAAGGTAGAAATTATTATCAACACCCCTTTCCTCAAATCGGCCAATAATGAGTTGAGTGAGGAGTTAACCTTCAACTCCAGACAATCAGGTGGCAGAGTCCGTATTCTCAACCACTACAGGTGGTGAGTTGTAGGAAGTCTTTTCTTCAGCACAGTGGCCAAGCCGACCATTGCTCCCACTCCCGGCTCTACCCACGTAGCACTTGCAGTCCTTACTGCTCATCTACCCATTCGGGTGCCACTCACTTTTTTGTCCAACATGTGTAAGTGTGCGTTCTGTATGTCTCAGAAATGAGAGTATGAGCTCTTGAAGGGCAAGAAAGATTGGGTGCAATGGCTAAAACCTGTAATCCCAGCACTTCAGGACGCTAAGGCAGGAGGATCGCTTGAGCCCAGGAATTCAAGAGCAACCTGGGCAACATAGAAATACTTCACCTCTACAAAAAAATAAAAACAAAAAAATAGCCGGATGTGGTGACCCAAGCCTGTGGTCCCAGCTCCTCCAGAGGCTGAGGCAGGGAGGATCGCTTGAGCCCAGGAGTTCAAGAACAGCATGGGCAACATAGAGAGACACCATTTCTGCAAAAAACTTAAAAAAAAAAAAAAATAGCCAGATGTGGAGGCTCAAGCCTGTGATTCCAGCTACTCCAGATGCTGAGGCAGAAAGGATCACTTAAACCCAGGAATTTGAAGCTATAGTGAGCCATGATTGTGCCACTGTGCTCCAGCCTGGGCAACAAAGCAAGACCCTGTCTCTTAAAAATAAATAAATAAATAAAGGGCAAAAAGTAGATGTGTATCTTATAGACATTCCATGATACAGAATACAGGGATGATTCTCACTCCAGAGTAGAGTGGAGAAGACCGGGCTTCAGAATTAATGAACAGGAGTGTAAATATCAGTTTTCTCTCTTATTAATTAGGACTTTGGGCAAATTATAACCTTCTTAAACGTTTTTCCTCACCTGTAAAATGAATACAACAACCGAAGTAACTCATAGAGTCAGCTTATAACACTGCCTGGTACATGGTAAGCACCCAATACATTTTAGCTACCAGTAACAATCCATTCTTCCAGATGGGAACTTTGCCATTGGGTGTCCCTCTCTCAATAGCTTGCCTCTTCCCTTAGTGAGAGGCATAGTTCATCCAGATGATCGTCCTCAGCAAAAGTTGGCATTAGGATCTCTAACCAATTGAATTCCAACAGTTCTCAAAGGGAGAGAGGGTGTCCTGAGGGTGTTTGGAAATGGGGAGGGTGCATATTGGAATGGGGAGGGTCGCTGGCATTTAGTGGGTTAAGTGGCCAGGATGTGAAATAACTTGCAATGTTCAGGACTGCCCCACACCGTGAAGAATTTTCCCACCCAAAACACCAATGGTGCTTCCACTGAAAAATACAGACTGCTTGGGAAATGTTTAGAAATGAAAGACAGCAGACAAAATCATTCCAATGAACAGGTCAAAGAGGCGAGCGACCCAAAATCAGTTAGGAAATCAGCAGTACCTCCTTATGGTTTCCGGTGGCTCTGCATGGAAGGGAATCTGACCGGCTGAGGCCAGGGTGTCCTGCAAGGCCTTGCTGACCTCCTGCAGCTGACCCAGGGACAGCTGGCCCACCAGTGGGGTCAGGTCGCAGCCCTGCCACTGGAGTTGCTGCTCTTGCTCCTCTATTTCCCTTCTCAGCTGTTGATCTTTGGCTTCCAGCACAAACATCCTTGCTTGGAGAGCTTCGATTTCTTTCTGTAGAGAATGAGGAGACAAGATTTTATAAATTAACCCTGCTCATGGCAAACTGCTCTGAGGATAATGACTCGTTTAAATGAGAATTGGCCATATGCACCAGAACTACAAAACTCCCCTTCTGAGGCAGGCAGATTTTTGGAGGTTTGCTGAACTGGAAAAATCATGCCAGCTTTATATTTCTAATGAGTTGGCATAAGGAAAAACATTCCCTCCCAAGCATTAAATAACTATGGGGGGTGAGCCAAGAATTTGACTTGGAAGAACCCAGCAGATACATAAATGACTTACTTCATTTCGGATGGATGAGTTAGGACACAGGGCAGGGAGCCTCATGCACCTGAGGTCTGAGCTAAGCAGGTTACCCCAGCCACAGACCAAAACAAGAAATGCAACTGACCCTTTGTTAGTCTGTCCCCAAACACAAGAATTCAGAGTACAGAGAAAGGTAAAAAATGGCTTCTTAAGTCTACAGGACTGAGAGAAGAATGAGATGCTGCAGATGGTGCCATGCAGTCTAAAGTTCATGAAAATATAAATAAATGTTAATTTCTACGAATATAGCAAACTGAAATCCAAATAATCCATAAAATATCATTTAATATTAAGGTCAATTAACTAAACAAGCAGCAGGTAATGAATGCCCGTCATGTGCACAGTGTTATAGTAGATCATCGTCTCACTGCCCATATGATTCTGAATAAAAAATAAGACTCTTAATTAACATACTCCCATGTTTTGTGGGGATAAGAGTGCAACTCTAATCCTGGGTGTCTCCTAACCTCTTATTCACGTTCTCTCAGCCCCGAGGTGCATCACCTACAACTTCTACCTCCTGAACCCACTTCAAGTCTGGGAGTGGGGAGAAGAATTGGGAGTTACTAAAGAATGTCTACTACCAAGACATTCTAAGAAAAAAGTAATGCCTCAGTGTCCCCAATTGCTCCAAGATTACAGTATTACTGACAAAGTCTCTCAACTAACCTCTCTACCTCCACTTTTGACTTCCTCTACCCTATTCATTTCTTTTTCTTTTAGTTTTTTAACTGGTAAAACACACATAGCATAAAATTCACCATCTTGAGCATTTTTAAGTGTAGAGTTCAGTGGCATTAAGTACATTCACACTGTTGTACAACCATCACTGCCATCCATCCACAGAACTCTTTTCATCTTGCAAAACTGAGACTCTGTACCCATTGAAAACTAATTCCCCATTATCCTCTCTTCCTCCAAGTCCCTGGGAATCACCATTCTACTTTCTCTATGAATTTGACTCCTCTAGGTAACTCAGACAAGTGGAATCATACAGCATTTATCCTTTTGCAACCAGTGTATTTCACTTAGCATAATGTCCTCAAGGTTCAACCATGCTGTAGCGTGTGTCAGAATTTCCTTCCGAGACTAATATCTCATTACATGTACATACTCATTTTGTTTATCATTTATCTGTTGATGAGCACTTGAGTTGTTATCACCTTTTGGCTATTGTGTATAACGCTGCTATGAACATGGGTGTGTAAACATCTCTTTGAGTCTGTGCATTCAATTTTTTTGAGACAGATATATACCCAGAAGGGGGGGTGGCTGGACCACACAGTCAATCAATTTTTAATCTTTTAAGGAAGCTGCATACTGTTTTCCTATTGTCTTACATCCTATTCCTAATACAGGAGTCAAATTATTTACAATGTGGTCAGATCATGTCACTTCACTGCTTAACACCATCCAATGGTTCCCTGTTGCAATCTGAGAAAAGTCCACATCCTTACAAGGCCCCTTTATCTCTGACTTCCTCCCCAAATCCTCCCCCTCATTTACACTGCTCCAGCCACATGGGCCTCCAGCTGCCCTCTGAACACAGGAGGCCCACTCCCACTCTAAGCCTTCATGTTGGTATCCCCCTGCAGGATCCTCTTGCAGAAATTTCTGCAAGGCCTACTCCCTCTCCTCTTTGAACTGTTGGGTCCAATCTCACTTCTCAATGAGTAGACTCCATCCTCTTCCACATCATCTTAGTCTACTCTGTGAAGCTCTTATCACCCTATAACATACCAGTTGTCTAATAGAGGTTTTATTATGTTTATCACTTATTGTCTATCTCCCCATTCTCACCCCTAGTGGATCAAAAGCTCCCCAGGAATCTCAAGCACTTCAAACAGTATCTGGCACTTAGTGAACCCTTAATAAATGTCTGTTGAATAAATGAATATTCAAGTACCTTTCCCAGAGTGCTTCAAACACTAAGTGCCCAGGGCTAAAATTATTTTCTGTACACTCTGACTGTCTCAGGAATTGTGTAGACCTTTAATTGGCAAATGTTATTAAAAATCAAAAACCAGATTTCACATTTTCAGCTATCCAAACGTTATAATGATGCACATTGACTGTGTAAGTGCTCAGTTAATGGGGGAAATAATTTCAAATAAATTGCCCTGACTTTTTCCTCCCTTTGCCACCTTACTCTTGCAGTGACCTGGATGGGGCAAATTCAGATAACACGAATACTCTATGACCAGATCAGAGATGGGAAGCCTCCAGCCTAAGCCAGGATTTGAACTTGGGTGTTGAAGACCTATGCTCTTCCCATGAAGTCACGTTGCTTCTAATCAATGTGTCCTCATCGCTCCCCACTCATGCTTCACAGCTCCAGGCTCAAGCAGGCATGGACCCTGTTTCAAGATTCCCTGCCTCTGGGGTGCCCTGTCAACTTCCAGAGCTCTGGCTTTAACTCAGTGCTGCACCCAGATTTGTAGCCCCTCGATGATTCTTAGCCAACTTGCATCCTCTGTTCTGGGCCAACCTTGGGCTTCCAAGCAGCCGGCTAATCATTCCAGATGTGCCTGCCTTGCTCAGTCCGGACTTACAACTCTGTCTCTTAACAACTGCAGCTCACAGTCTACCATGATAGGAATTTCCATAAAGGATTTTCACAGCACAGATGTCTTTCTGCCTTTCAAAGGAAGCTTCTAAAGGTCAAAATGATAAGAAGTGGCAAATTGGCCTGGCAGACAAGAAAAGCATATTCAAAAGGTAATGAGGAATATCGAAAACAGGCACAAATGCTGCTGAGCTTTCAACCCTCGTTTGTAATGAGATTCCTACAAGCCTTCTAGTCATTCCCACCATCTCTCCTTTTTGTACTCCCCGGCTTGACAGCCAAGGCTCTAATTGCTACACTCAAGGAAAGCAAAGACCCACTTGGCTGCATTTGGCTTAAATGGATAAGAAAAATGCCAGCTTGGCACAGTGGCTCACGCCTGTAATCCCAGCACTTTGGAAGACTGAGGCAGGAGGATTCTTTGAGCCCAGGAGTTCAAGAGCAGCCTGAGCAACATACTAAGACCTGATATCTACTAAAAATAAAAAAATTTAGCCAGGCATGGGGTTCACACCTGTAGATCCAGCTACTTGGGAGGCTGAGGTGGGAGAATCACCCAGGAGCTCAAGGCTGCAATGAGCTATGATTGCACCACTGCCCTCCAACCTAGGCAACAGAGCAAGACCCTGTCTCAAAGAAAAGAAAAATGCCATCATATTTCTTGAAGATCTTTCACCTGCTCACCTGTAGCTGCTGCTTTTCCTGAAGAAGCCAGTCTCGTCTCGTGATGGACACGTGCAAGCTGTCCTGAGCAGTGGGTTCCAACAGCCTCGGCTCCATTCTCAGTGGGGTGTGGGTGTCATCTCCGCTGGCCCTTAAAACAACACATACCTATTGGTACAGGTATGCAGAAGCTGAAATCCTCATGTTGACAAGTATTTTAAGAGTAAGAAACTCCAGCAAGTGGCCCCCATCTGTTCTCATACTTAGGAGGGTACTTACCTGTTTTTAGGATGAGCTCCTTAATGTAAGTTTCTACCTGAATTACAATCTCTTGTGATTTTTGCTTTTTCCCCTTAGTCAGAATACTATTATGGGACCTGCACTGTCTGATAAGGTAGCCCCTGACCACATGTGACACATGGTTAGCCCAAATTAAAATGTGCTAAAAGTGTAAAACACACACCAGATTTTAAGGACTTAGTATGAAAATAAAGAGTACAAAATAACTCATTCGTAATATTTTTAAGTTCATTATATGTTGAGATAATATTTTGGATATATTGAATTAAATGTATTGTTAAAATTAATTTCACCTGTTTCTTATTAATTTTGGGGAAATATAACAAGATCTTTATTCAAATGATTAGGAGTATTGAATTCACACTCACTATTTCTGAAATTCACCAGTTCCCTTGCCTTTACGGCATCCACCCTTCCTCTGCTCATTTAGAATCTTCTGCTTTGCACTACTGTTTGAGTCACTAGTCAATGAGAAGGTTGTCACTGAGGGTTTCAGAAGATTTTCTCCCACAATCAGCTTTAATCACAGAGAAATACACTTCTTGCAGAGCCCACATCACATTTTTTTTTATTCCCAGCACTTATCACAGTGTTGAACTTAATAAAATTAGGCCAAGAGTTCTAGAAAATGCAACTGAGCTCCTGGCAGAATTTTCACTTGATTAACTTTCTTCTTAATTTTGTTTTTTTTTTTTTTTTTTTAGATAATGTCTTACTGCGACACCCAGGCTGGAAAGCAATGGTGCAATCTCGGCTCACTGTAACCTCAGCTTCCTGGGTTCAAGCAATTCTCCTGCCTCAGCCTCCCGAATAGCTGGGACTACAGGCGTGTGCCACCATGCCCAGCTAATTTTTGTATTTTTAGCAGAGACAGGGTTTCACCATGTTGGCCAGGCTGGTCTCGAATTCCTGACCTCAAGTGATCCTCCCTCCTCCGCTTCCCAAAGTGCTGGGATTACAGGTGTGAGTCATCGCACCTGGCCCTTAATCTTTTTTAATGTGCGTACTAGATCATTTAAAATTGTGTATATGGCTCACACTAGATTTTATTGGATAGCACTGCCTTGGACTATCCAAACAGGGCCAAATTCCAGAGCTGACCTTGATGGAGATTAAAAGGAGGGGTGACTGATTTGCAGATGCTTGGATGCGAGCTTCTCAGAAAAAATTTGCTAAAGACTGTCAAAACCACTTAAAATCTTTTAGGCTCCTTCTCTTATTCTTGCCGGAGTTGACATATTTGGTGACAGTGATGCTAGTGAAAATGTGGCACAGGTTTGGGCCTTATGTTGGTGAGCTGTCTTTAAAGGAGACTTGTTGGTATTTGTCACCAAAGAATGACAAATTCACCCTTAAAACAATCCATTTCTAATGGAATGCAGGTGGGCAGGAAAACAATTTACCCTAAGCAAAACTACGTCAACAATTCAAGGAAGCTATGTCCAAGAAAACACCATCAACTAAAACTAATAGGCGAACGACAAGTGGGGAAAAATATATTGCTACACATATGGCAGAAAAAGGGATAATATTGCTAATTTATAAAAAGTTATATCAAATTATGAAGGAAAAGACAAGTGCACCAACCAGAAATTCCAAAAAGATGGAATACAGCTGAGCGTGGTGATGCACACCTGTAGTTCCAGCTACCTGGGAGGCCAAGGCAGAGAACTGCTTGAGCCTAGGAATTTGAGACCAACCTGGGCAACATAGCAAGATCCCCCACCTCAGAAATAAATGAAGTGTTAAGGAAAATGATTATTATCCAAAGTTTTTTTTTTTTTTTTTTTTTTTTGTAGGGTGGACAAGGTCTAGCTCTGTTGCCCAGGCTGGAGTTCAGTGGCATGATATTGGCTCACTGCAACCTCTGCCTCCCAGGTTCAAGCGATTCTCCTGCCTCAGCCTCCAATGTAGCTGGGACTACAGGCACGCGCCACCACAGCCAGCTAATTTTTGTACTTTTAGTAGAGACGGGGTTTCACCTTGTTGGCCAGGATGGTCTCGATCTCCTGACCTGATGATCCGCCCACCTCGGCCTCCCAAAGTACTGGGATTACAGCCATGAGCCACCAAGCCCAGCCTCCAAAGATAGTTTTAAATGAAAATCCAAACAACATAAAACATCATCTTTCACCTAACAAACTGGCCTGGCAAAGGTTTTCCCAAACCATAAGTCTTTGGTGAGAGTAGGGAATAAGAATGAGACTTAAAATTAAATATAACTTGGGATTCTACATTCCCACATCCAAGTATTGATTGCATGTAAATAATCATAGTTTTACACAAAGATCGGCTACAAAAATCAGGTTTTTTTCTTAGTAGCCCAAGACTGAAAATACTCTAATCGTGCTCCAGCATCAGGACCTCTTAGCAATGCTAAGCAGCCACTAAAATTAGGTCACACAAGAAGATACACTGGCCTGGAAAATGTTCACTATTTATTGCTGTTTTTTCTAAAGCAGGTTTTATGGCAAAAAGTATGAAATGAACCATTGTAAAAATATTAATAACATGTACATAAAATAAAAGAAAAATATTCACCAAAATGCTATCAGCTCTTATCTCTGGGTGGTGGAATCATTTCTTTCCATTGATCTTTCTAAAGTTTCCATAGTGAGCATGTATCATTTTTACAACTGTAACATAAAATGTTTGCCAACACACACTAAGTAGCTGCACTTTTGATTTAAATATTTTAACATAGCCAATTAGTCTTGTAGCTCTTGAACATGTCTGTGTTTTAAATAAAGCTCATCAATAACATCACCTTCAAGGTCATCTTCCCCTGCAGAGGAGCAGACATCTGTGGCTCTGACACTTGGAGGCATAAACTCAGCATCCTAAAAAGGCCAAATTAAAGCTATCCCCTCCTTCCGTGGCATCTCCCACACAGCTAGATCTTGTCTGCCACCTTTGTACTTATTTCAGGGCTCAATGAGGAGAAGCGTGAAGCTGCATGTTCTTATTTATATATTAACACAGGGTCGCACTGCCTCCGCATTTCTTAGAAAAGAAAATGAGTAACTGATCCTAATATATGTTGTGCTATGTTTGTCTCCTTTTACTCCTACCCCATTTCATTCATTCATTCAGAAAAAGAAAAAACATTACTGAGCTTGCCTGGTATGTACTATGGATTGTGCTTGGCTCTGGGGACACAATGCTAAACAGTTCTTGGTTCTTCCATGGAGCAGGAGAGACAAATGCATCAACAGAAAAATTACAAAGCAATGAAGAAATGGGCAATTGCAAGGCATGGACCAATGATGGTAGACTTTAAAGCTGGGGGAGACTCTTCCCCCTTGCTGAGTCTTAACTTGACACTTACGAAATAAGTGAACCAACCAACCATGGTGCAATGAAGCAGGCTTCATACATTTAGAAACAATACTAGAAAATATGTCACCTCAGTTTTTGTAAGTTAGAAAACAGCAGTTACAGAAAAAGGAACCTTGCTTTTGTTCCTAAGTCTACCAAAAAGATCGGATTCTCTGAATAATCTTAAAGGTCACTTATTGTAACATATGACATAATTTAGAAATCTATTCTTTGTTTCATATGCTTAAAGGCAAATAGCAGCATCAAGAAAAATGTTTAAACTGATAATAATAAAATAAAGTACTATGAATCAAGAACGTACTGTTCACCAGACGTTATCTTTTGATCACATTCGCTTCTCATTACAGACCTAAGATGAAGATGCTATTATACCGGTTTTGCTGATGAGGAAACCGAGTCCCGGTGGGTCAGGGTCTAGCCCATGGCCATGCAGACAGCAGGAAGGAGAGTTTAGGAGTCAATGCGGATCAGGCTGAGTCCCAGGTTCCTGCTCTTTCCCAGATACCACACACCATTAGGTTCTCAGCAAGCCCAGGAACTTCCATCTCCCCTGCCTTCCAGTCACATCCACACACACCCATTGTTTGAGTCCTCTTGGTGGCTATCAGCAGGGCAGTGCAACGTGGAGAGTGCACAGCCTGTGGAGGCAGAGGCCACGCTTTGGGTCTTGGTTCTGCCTTTTTCACACCGTGTCACCGCACTTACCTAATCTCTCTGAACCTTACCTTCTTCATTTTTAAAATAAGAATGACAGTGATGATGATAACAAAAATGTTTTCCCTATGGAGCGAACTATGGGGAACAAATTGACTTGATAAATGACCACTGAGCATCTCCTGTATACAGACCCCACCCTCACACTGGGGCTGTTTGGGGATGGAGACAGAACGCCTCCATCCTCAAGAAGCTTGCTGTTGATCTCCCCAGGATCTCAATGTTTGTATCGGGAAAATGAACACTGTACTCATGTCCAAAGCACTCACTTTCTGATGAAAGATGTGGGCCAGGCATGGTAGCATAAGCCTGTCATCCCAGCACTTTGGGAGGCTGAGGCAGGAGGATCACTTGAGCCCAGGAGTTCTAGTCCAGCCTGGGCAAGACAGTGAGACCTTATCTCTACCAAAAAAAAAAAAAAAACAAAACAAAACTAAAAATTAGGCACAGTGGCACGTGCTTGTAGTCCCAGCTACTTGGGAGGCTGAAGTGGCAGGATCACTTGAGCCCAGGAGTTAGAGGCTGCAGTGAGCTATGATCATGCTGCTGCACCCCAGCCTAGGCAACAGGGCAATCAATACCACAAAGAAAGGAAAGGAAGGAAGGCAGGAAGGCAGGAAAGGCAGGCAGGCAGGCAAGGGAAGGGAAAAGAAAAGAAAAGGAAAGGAAAGGAAAGAAAATAAAGAAAAGAAAAGAAAAGAAAAGAAAAGAAAAGAAAAGAAGAGAAAAGAAAAGAAAAGAAAAGAAAGAAAAGAAGGAAGGAAGGGAAAGAAAGAAAGAAAAAGAAAGAAGGAAAGAAAGAAAGAAAAGAAAAAAGAAAAGAAAGGAAAGAAGAAAGAAAAAAGAAAAGAGAAAGAAAAAAAGATAAAATGTGTCTGAGGATATTTATATGCATCAGAAGAAATGTCTGGAAGAAAACCATCCTACTACTATCAGGTACTGATGTCGGTGGGAACGAAACGCACTTCCTCCTCTGGGCTGCAGAGTCTCAGCCTGTTTGCAGTTACTCGTTCCTGACTGTGAACCTGGAGGGAAGGGACTGAGCTCATCTCATGGTGAGGGCCCCAGTGCCCAGCACTTAGTAGGGGCTTGGCAAATATTTATAGAATGATTCAATGAGTCTGTGTCCTAGAAAATCCAGAAGCCGTTTATATTCACTTTTCTATTGCATTGGATCATTTCTTTGCACTAATTTATTCCCCAATTTGCTCTGCTTATGCTAATAGTACAAGTTTCTTGAATTTCCTAAATAGATACCATCTGGGTCGGGATGAGAGTCATTGAAGGAAATCAACACAGAATTGAAAATTAGCTACAGAGTAGCTACAGGTGGGTAACTGGGAATTCTCTATATTATCATTAATCACATTCATTACTTAATCCATAAGAAAATCCCCTGTGATTAACCAAAACTCTTCTGTCTGTCTCTCATATTCTTACTCCAGGTAGAGAAAGGGATCCACAGATGGCTGAGTGATGGCCCCAGGACACACTGTAGCTCAGTAATGAAGCAAGGGACAGGCTTCCGTCTTTCAAATCTTCTGTCCTCTGAGTCAGGCTTCCTCTGTGTTCTGCAATGTTGTCCCCTTTATATTTAATAATTCTCAAAGTGTAATCCCTGATGTCGCTGCAAATTAGCATCGCTGCTATAAACTAATCAGTATGCAAAATGAGCAAATCCCTCAGGGGCAAGAAATAAAAACATGCAGGGTAGAATGTTAGAACAGCACTCAGTGCCAATGGGGATTCAGGTGTCCAAGATCACACCCGGAACCCACAGTGTCATACAGGTCTCCATCGGCACCACCCCAGTACGGGAAAAATCTTGGCCTTTTCCATCAATAATTTAAAGGAGGATAAAATCCATTCATAAAATAAGATCCTACATCACAGAAAAAATTAGCTCCAAATTGCACAGGAAAAATGTTTTCATTCCATTGACAATTTTTACCATGTGACTGTTTGAATGCATATTTCAGGAATATTGAAAAAAGAATGAAGAAATCGTCTAGGTGTCTGTGGTTCCTGTGCCGGCTTGTTAAGGGGTGCACGCCTGTGATGAGCCTACATTGCCACCTCCTTCCCAGCCCAGCACTCAGGCCCCCTGGGCCCTCTAGTGCCCTTGGCATTGCTCGAGAGGCCACCTTCAGAAGGCTCTGCAAGTGAGAATGTTGACAGGGCAAGGAGAAGCCAGGAAATCCACCTGTGAGAAAATCCTGCACCGGAACTGCTAGTGACAGTGCTGTGGTTTACGCATCTTCACATGTAACACAGGAGGTCCTTCTCTGAGACCCCTAATGTTGTTAGAGTACCAGAAAAATTGCTTTGTGCCACTGCTGGAATCGCAGAATTTTAGTCTCAGAAAGGACCAAAACTAACAAGGCCGATGTTCTCATCATCACAGTTAGAAAAATGCGGTCCTGAGGGAGTGCCACCTTTCAGATGACTATTTCTGGCAACAAGAGTTGGGTATAACTCTTCTGATTAAGGTTGCTAATTGCTGCTCCCTACTGATGACTATCCTATCAAATTTATGTCATATGACTTGTGTGTCCCATCTCTCCCTCTTTGGGAAGATGGTGATAAAGAAGGGGTTTGGGCCAGTCATAGAACCAATGAAGTGCACTTTACACCTAGAAATAGCTTGCTCATTCAATAAACGATGCCCTAAATTACCAAGGCCATTCTGAGAGCACAAAAGAATGTTGTAAAATTGCCAGAGACAATACAGGTAACTTTATAATTCTTCCATATATATATGATTTGGGTCTAAAAAGTAAGGAGCATGGAGAAGTCACATTCCTCAGGAAACTGACTTTCATTGTTTTATACAGTCTTATCCCACTCATAGAAATGACCACCCGGCAAGAGAGGCACATGAATATTTATCTGGGTTCATAATAGTTATGCCTGATGCCACTGGCCTCAGGACAGACTTCAGTTGAGTTTGAACAAAGAGGATGATATGGAAGACCTTTATTTGGGAGCTTTTATTTATAATCCAATAGTTCCAAAACAAGTTCTGAGAAGTCCTCTGTGGCTCACAACTTAGTTTCCCCCCTTGTCCTTTCTCCCTTCTCTTATTGAGGCCATGACTAAGGGTCTGGAGTTGGTCTCCTGGGAGTGGGACACAGGGCATGCCACTGTCTCTTGTGGTTCCCCATCTCCTGATCTGATTTGGGGTTCAGAAATATATCCTGGTTTGTTGGTAATAACAAATATTTTTTTCTTTGCAATGAGATCTTGCTCTGTCAGCCAGGCTGGAGTGCAGTGGTGTAATCATAGCTTGCTACAGCCCCAAATTCCTGAGTTCAAGCAATCCTCCTGACTTAGCTTTCCAAGTAGATAGGACTACAGGTACGCACCACCGCATTTGGCTAGTTTTGTTTTTTTTTTTTTTTTTTTTTTTTTGTAGAGATGGGGGTCTCACTATGTTGCCCAGGCTTGTCTCAAACTCTTGGTCTCAAGCAATCCTCCTGCCTCAGCCTCCCAAAGAGCTGGGATTACAGGTGTGAGCCACCATGTCCAGCCAGTAATGATAATTTTCATGTTGTATCATAGCCATCTCATTTTATATCCTGGGTAAAATGTGTCTGTAACAGTTATTTTCTGGTCTCATACAGTGTATCTTGATTCCAATCTCAAGGGCTTAGAGCTGACCATCACTGAATTCTGTGACACTGAATGCTGTGTTAGTCCCTACATGACAACCAAAGGGAAATAAAGAATCACATGTTTCAAAGGCAATTGAGGAGCAATTGGCCAGAGGAAGAATGACTCTGCCCAAAAGCATCATGGTGCTGCACAACA
Organism: Homo sapiens; assembly: GCF_000001405.40. NCBI lineage: Eukaryota > Metazoa > Chordata > Mammalia > Primates > Hominidae > Homo > Homo sapiens. The sequence continues at coordinate 231,759,127 of NC_000001.11, read as the reverse complement.
TTCATCTTCTCTGTTCCCATCTCAAAGGAAGCATGCTAGTGGGAAATATGTGGACAGGCAAACTGGGGCTCTGCCTTGATAAGCCCCACTGGAAAACCATGATAGATCTTTGTTTTAAACTTTGTTATATTTTGTTTGCTTGAGTTTGAGGTTATCCCCTGGGAAAAGGTCTTCGATAAAGGACATTTTGTGTGCGCATGCATACAAACACATACATGCACACACACAATTTCGGTTACAAATAGGACCAGTTTTCACGTACATATTGGTGAAGATCCAGTGGAAAAATGCACGGGGTGTATAGTTAGAGAAATGCAATGTATTCATGAGAAAATTATCTTCCAAATGTGTGATGATAGTAGGCCAACTCTCTCTCTTAGGAGAAAGGAAAAATAACTTTCCTTTGATTGGATGGAAGACACAGTAGGAACAGAAGCCTCTCTCTTCTCTTCTAATCCCTGTTGTCACAGGATATTGAGGTAGAAATTTCCTGTTGCTCCAGAGTTGGAAACTAAAGCTGAAGGACTTAGACCTAAACGCTCTGCATTCTGAATCTCTAATGATGGAGTGGGGCATCCTACCCCTGGGGCTGCTCAACCAGCACCTCTGCAATCAACCACCACTCTCAATACCCACCCACCTGTTGGCCATCTAGGAAATGGGTCTTCATGAGAGACGCGTTTTTCTCCCCTACCCCATGGTTTGCCTATCCAAACCTGGCCCACATGGGAGTAAACTCTTCTACTCAAACCCAGTGGGAAAAAAAAAATCCACTAGATTCACTCACAAAGATTGGGGGTGCCCTGCAAGAAGGAAGACTGACATCTAATTCTCTAATGTGGATATCTGTCTATATTTAGGTTCTCTTAACAGCAGAGCCTGAGACAGGGACCTGAGTACAGGTTGATTTTGAAGAAGTGATTCCCAAGAAACTAGAGTGAGAAAGAGGAAAATTCAATAAAAGGTTCACTGTGGAGCTGGTCACCACACGGACAAATGGAACCCATTGGCCAAAAGGTTCCTAGTAGTAGGAACCTCCTAGAAAAGAAAAAAAAAAACAGTGTGGAGCATGCCTCAGAACTGTTCCCTAAGAGGCTGGGTAGGCTGGGGCATTATCCACCCCCACCCCTCCTCACACAGGTTCCGAGAACACCTGTGCAGACAGGCCTGATAAACCTGTTGGGTGCCTGAGTGGAAAGCCGACTGTGAGCACGGTTCCCAGTTGTGGAGGGAATCGGAGGGAGGCCGAGGGATTGGGACACAGGGCACCCAAACTGTCCGCTGCAGCATTGTCTAAGGAACTCACTTCTGATGTGTTGCTGCCCCGTAAACCAGGGAAAAAGGAATTAGAGAGACCTAGCAGGGCAGAGAGGGTCTATTATAGGGTGGCCTGAGCATATACCATTTGTTGTGGCAAAGATACATGAACTTCCCACAGGAATCAAGAGGATATCACAAAAGTTATTCCTCCAACAAGCAAATCCACTGGGCCAGAGGACCCCACAGAAGAGGGGTCAAATGATTTGAGTACCGATATCTGCCCTCAGAGGAACCTAGTTAACCCCTGAAGATAGTTAAAGCTCTCTTGGCTGCTGGCAGGATCTGAACATAACCCAGGGTGCTCTTCTACACGAGTTCAGAGGATTAAACAGTGTTTCTCAAAAGCTGAATTAAATTGTGATTTTTAAGAACAAAGTGACAACAAAAATAATAAAACATAAAGGATCTGATTGTATCTGGATGTTTACAGCTTCTTAAATCTTATCCTAAACTAAATTTTATTAACCTGGGAACCAAAGACCCTCTAAGGAGTGAACGAATAACTCAGGAGATCTGTGAGTCTCCTGAAAATACACTCAATAGTTTTCATATATGTACATGTGTACACGTGGTTTTGCAATAGAGGAAGTCCATAGCTTTCATCAGCTTCTCAAAATAAATAAATACTTGATCCCAAAAAGGTTAGCAGGCACTTATTTGAGTTATTAATTAGTATTTAACATTGTTCATGTTGATACAACTATTTTATTTCTACAGGAAAAGCACCACTCATTCAAAAATATTATATATACCCCTTGACTCGGAGAGCCTGTGAGAGCGGTTTCTGTCCAGGCTCTGGGCTGTGTGAGCTTCAGCCTGCCACCATGGCCCCCTGGTGGTCACTGTGAAAACAGCAGTGGGTAGCTGGCACACTGAAAGGCAGGTTTTAAAAAAATTTTAGCAACTAGGTAATTGTGTTAATATGCATTAGAAAAATTTCAGAAAGTTAATTTCAACTCATTATTTTCTAGTTACGGTAATAATACATAAATAACTTTAGTTTAGAAACCAGTGATCTAATTTAACCCCCTCATTTTCTGATGAAGGGAGTGGAGTTTGGAGAGGTTCAATAACTACACCAAGCCATATACAGCTGGTTGGTGGAAGAGAAAGGACCAGAAATGACCTCCTATCCAAGGTTCTGTCAAGATTCTGTGCAACTCCTTCTTGCTGGCAATTTCAGAAGAAAAGCTGAAGGAGCATTTTCCTCTAGGGCAACTGAATCCCAATAAAGTGAAGTCAGTCTCTCTCTCTCTCTCTCTCTCTCTCTCTCTCTCTCTCTCTCTCTCTCGATATTCACATATACGTTTGTGAACCTATATATAGCTACATATGCATATGTGTCACATTCACACATTCAATGAATATAGAATACAGATTATGGGCCAGACACTATTCTAGTCTCTAGAAATAGAAAGATAAATATAATACAGTCTTGTCCTCAAGGAGCTTATCATCTGTCAGAGTAAACAGATATTCAAGAAAACAGATGTATTTAAGACCTAAGCAGAAGTGAAGTCATTCAAGGTATGCTGTCATTCAAGGGAGAGGCAGTGTGACTGATGAGCAGAGCTTTGCAAGGATATTTGTTTCACTAAGTCTGGAAGAATGGGAAATAGTTGGTAACAACAATGGGGCATGAGCAAGATCATAGAATCTAGAAACATTCAGAACATGGGGGTAACATATAATATTTCAGTAAGTGTCTATTGCAGATGCTGGTAATGTCTAGTTAAATGCTGGGCAGCTGGGCAGGGGCTGGATCGTGAAGACTTTTAATGTCATGCTAAGCAACATGAATTTTATCCTGCAAGCAATGGGGAGCCATTGAGCATAACATAATACTTCTATCATGGCCTTGTGGAAGATGAATGAGAGGTGGTAATAATGGAATCAGAAATACCAGCAAGGAGACCACTGCAATAATCCAGATTTAAAGTGTTAAAGACCAGAACTAAGGCACTGACGTGCAGGTGAGACAAGTGAGTGGAAATGAGAGAGACAGACAGTGGACACAACAGGACTTGGTGACCAATGACTGTGGGGAGGGATGGAAAGGGAGGATCCAGAGATGCCTCAGAGTCCTTGCTTGGGTAACTGGGTAAATGGCAGTGAAAGTCATTCAGACTGGGGATATAGGAGAAGGAACTGAATGGGGAGAACAACGGTAAATTTAGTTTAAAAGATAGCAAACTTAGTAAAAGGCAAGGATAAAGAGATAGTAATGTTAAGGATAAAAAGATACTAAATTAAGTAAAAATAAGGGAGATGCTCAATAGAAAACTGAATTGTGGATTGGAATTCTGGAGATAAATCAGGGCTAGAGATAGAAATTTGGGAAAAAATAGTATAGAAACAGTATCTGAAGACTCAGAGCATTTGAGACCACTGAGAAAGAAGATACAAAGTGAGAAGAGAGGAAAAGCTAGAACAGAAGACAGAAGAACAACAATATTAAAGAGAAAGGGGCTGGGCATGGTGGCTCATGCCTGTAATCCCAACACTTCAGGAGCCCAAGGTGGAAGAATTGCTTAACCCCAGGAGTTTGAGACCAGCCTGGCCAATAGAGTGAGACTCTGTCTCAAAAAAAAAAAATTAAGAAGAAAGGGAGAGAAGGAGCTCATAAGACATTAAGAAGAATGGCCAGAAATGTAGCAAGAAGACCAGGAAGGGTGAAATCATGAAAGCCAAGGGAAATGGGAGTTTTAAGAATGAATTTATTAAAAATTCTAGACACTGCCATGATACATAGCAGAATAAGAATTGAAAAATGTCTTTTAATTTAGCAAATAGAAAGTCATTGCTGACTTTGGTAGATATTTGAGGAGTGATAGAGACAGAAATCAGGTCACAGTGAGCTCAAAAAGTGAATGGAACATTCACTGGCATAGTATACAGACAACTCCTGTAAGGAAAAGGAAAGAGGATGATAGCTCATAAAGTAAGCCAACAGTTAATATTGGCTTGATAAATGTTTAATAAAGGCCTATACTTTTCTGGGGGCCTTATTAGGTCAAACCCCATAAAATGTTTGACAGGTTTCAAACAGTCAAATGTAAGAGATGTCCTTATGGTGTAACCTAATATAATTAAGAATGCATGACACTGGCTTTTAGTTAATCATATTCTATCAAAAACTTAGGCAAGACCAGAATAAAAGCATCACTCTCTGCTATGGTTTGGATCTGCGTCCCCACCCAAATCTCATGTTGAATTGTAATCCCCAATGTTGGAGGTGGGTCCTGGTGGGAGGTGATTAAATCATGGGGATGGATCTTTCATGAATGTTTAACACCATCCCCTGGTGTTCTCGTGATAGAGTTCTCACAAGGTCTGGATGTTTAAAAGTGAGTAATACCTCCCATTTCTCTCTCTCTTGCTGCTCCAGCCATGTGATATGCTAGCTCCCCCTTCACCTTCTGCCATGATTGTAAGTTTCCTAAGGCCTCCCCAGAAGCCAGAGCAGATGCCAGATCATGCTTCCTGTACATCCTGCAGAATAGTGAGCCAATTAAGCCTCTTTTCTTTATAAATTACCCAGTCTTGGGTATTTCTTTATAATAATGTGAAAATGGACTAATACAGAAAATTGGTACCAAGAAGTGGGGCATTGCTATAAAGTAAAGATACCTGAAAATGTGGAACTGGCTTTGGAATCGGGTAATGGGCTGAGGTTGGAAGAGTGTGGATGGCTCAGAAGAAGACACGAAGATGAGGAAAAGTTTGGAAATGCCTAGAAACTGATTGAATGGTTATGACCAAAATGCTGGTAGTGATATGAACAGTGAAAGCCAGGCTCATGAGGTCTCAGATGGAAATGAGAAACTTATTGGGAACTGGAGTAAAGGTCAATTTTGTTATTGCTTAGCAAAGAACTTGGCTGCATTGTGCCCCTGCCCTAGGGAATCTGTGGATCTTTGAACTTGAGATTAATGATTTAGGGTATCTGGTGGAAGACATTTCTAAGCAGCAAAGCATTCAAGATGTGGCCTGGCTGCTTCTAACAACCTATTCTCATATGCATGAGCAAATAAATGACCTAAAGTTTGAACTTATATTTAAAGAGGAAACAAAGCATAAAAGTTTGGAAAATTTGCAGCTTGGCCATGTGGTAGAAAAGAAAAGACCATTTTCGAGGGAGGAATTCAAGCAGGCTGCAAAAATTTGCATAAGTAAAAAGGAGCTGAGTGCTAATAGCCAAGACAATGGGGAAAAGGCCTCAGAGGCATTTCAGAGACCTTCATGGCAGCCCCTCCCCTCATAGGCTTGGAGGCCGAGGAGGACGGAATGGTTTCATGGGCCAGCCCCAGGGCCCCAGTGCTCTGCACAGCCTCAGGACACTGCTCCTCACACTGCTGTCAGTTTTTCCAACTCCAGACATGGCTCAAAGGGGTCCAGATACAGCTTGGACCACTGCTTCTGAGGGTGCAAGCCATAAGCCTTGGCAATTTCCACATGGTGTTAAGCCTGCAGGTGCACAGAGTGCAAGAGTTGAGGCTTGGGAGCCTCTGCCTAGGTTTCAGAGGATGTATGGAAAAGTTTGGTTGTCTAGGCAGAAGTCTGCTGCAGGGCAGGACCCCTCATGGAGAACCACTACTAGGGTAATATGGAGGGGGAATGTGGAGTTGGAACCCCACACAGAGTCCCCACTGGGGCACTGCCTAGTGGAGCTGTGAGAAGGGGGCCACCATCCTGCAGACCCTGGAATAGCAGATCCACTGGCAGCTTGCATCCTCAGCATGGAAAAGCTGCAGGTACTCAATGCCAGCCTGTGAGAGCAGCTGCAGCATCTGAACCCTGCAAAGCCACAAGGGCAGGGCTGCCCAAGGTTATGGGAGCCCACTCCTTGCACCAGTGTGCTCTGGATGTGAGACATGGAGTCAAAATGAGATTATTTTGGAGCTTTAAGATTTAATGACTGCCCTACTGCATTTCAATTTGCATGGGGCCTGTAGCCCCTTTCTTTTGACCAGTTTCTCTCTTTTGGAACAGGAGTATTAACCCAATGTCTATATCTTGGAAGTAACTGACTGGTTTTATATTTTACAGACTCTCACAGGCAGAAGGGACTAGCCTTGTCTCAGATGAGACTTTGGACTTTTGAGTTAATGCTGGAAATGAGTTAAGTCTTTGGGGGACTATTGGGAAGGGATGATTGTATTTTGCAATGTGAGAAAAACATGAGATTTGGGGAGAACATGGGTGGAATGATATGGTTTGGATCTGTGTCCCCACCCAAATCTCAAGTGAAATTGTAATCCCAAGTGTTGGAGGCAGGGCCTGGTGGAAGATGACTGCATCATGGGGGTGGATACTTCATGAATGGTTTAGCACCATCCTCTGGTGCTATTCTCATGATAGAGTTCTCATGAGATCTCGTTGTTTAAAAGTGTGTGGCACCTCCCTCTTTTCTCTCTCTCTCTTGTTCCTACTCTGGCAATGCAATGTGTGTGCTCCCCTTTCACCTTCCACCATGATTGTAAGTTTACTGAGGCCTCCCCAGAAGCTGAGCAGATGCTACCATCATGCTCCCTGTACAGCCTGTAGAACCATGAGACAATTAACTTCTTTCATTTATAAACTACTCAGTCTCAGTTATTTCTTTATAGCAATGTGAGAATGGACTAATACACTCTCCATCCAAATTGCAGGTATGGCTAAAGAGATAATAATATAGCAGCCTTTGCCAGCCCAGACTTAAAAGGCAGCACAGTGCACTGATTCAGGGCCAAGATGCAAGCCAGACAGTTGGGTTTGTGTCTCCCTCAGCACTCACCTGCTGGTGGATCTGCCTAAGTTTCTTAGCTTCTATTGGGCCTGGTTTCCTCATCCTAAAATTCAGGTATAGATGTAGATACAGATCTCTATACATGTAGATATCAATATATAAAATAATACTACCCCCTAGAATTGTCATGAACATTAAATGAGTTATTTTAATGAATGAATGAGCAAACTGTAGTCTATCCATACAATGGAGTATTATACAGCCTTGAAAGAAAGGAAATTCTGACACATGCTATCAGATGGATGAACATTGAAGACACTATACTATGAGAAATGTCAGTCACAAAAGAGCAAATATTGTATGATGTCACTTCTATGAGGTACACAGAGTAGTCAAATTCAGAGAAATGGAAATTAGAATGTGGTTGTCATGGACTGGAAGAGGGGAAGGGATGGGGATTTATTGCTTAATGGGTACAGAGTGTCAGTTGGGGAAGAGGGAAAAGTTCTGGAGATGAATGGTGGTGATGATTGCACAACATTATGATGTATTCAATACCACTGAACTGTATACTTAACAATGGCTTAATCACTTAATCACCATCACTTAAGATGGTGAATTTTATGTTATGTGTATTTTACCACAATTTTCAAAAATGGAAATAAATTAAATGAGTAACTTCTAAAGCATTTAGTAACTGTTATGAAAGTGTTTGTTAAATAAATAGAAACATAATAAATTAGCTAAATTTATTGTGCCTCAATCTTTGTGCCCTATTTTTACATGCTAAAATTTTCCCAAGACTGGAGTAGACGACAAGAAATAACCCCAAAGATAAAAGAATGAGAGAATTACAGAGAAAGTCAATTTGGGAGTGGCCTCATGTGTGAAAGAGGAACACGCAATGTTGCAATGATGTCTCAATGTCAGATTAGAAAAGAATGAAAATGGCGAGGTGAAATTCACTCTCTATTGAGGAGAACCATGAAAAAGTTCACTAAGCAAATAGTTATAAGGAAGCACCTACCAGGTGCCATTCACTCTGCTACATGCTACTGGCAAAACTGAAAGTAATTGGTCTCACTGTGCAGGCAGGCTTCAGGGAGGTATCAAGATAAACTAAATGTATAATGCCATGTACACTTAATAGGAATAGGCCAGAAAATCTTGTGATTGTCAGGACCAATTGGAAGTGGGAAATAAAGTGGAATTGTTGTGGCCATGTTGATAACTAAGTAGAACCAGACCTGAATTGTGATGAGGCTCATAGCATTCATAAAACACCTGTTCCCTCTCAGACCTTTACCTAGGGAGAAAGGGAACACAAAGGTAGATGGAGCAGTGGTTCTCAGCCTTTTTAAGCATGCCAATATCTGGGAGCCACCCTTGCCTCCCACACCTAGACATTCTGACTTAGCTTGCCTGGGGAGGAGCCTGGACATTGGTAGGTTTTAAATCTTTCTAAGTTATTCAAACATGCAGCCAGGACCACAAGCCACTGGATTAGAAGCAGCAACTGCTCTCTATATATTACTAATCTCAGAAGAGCCTTGGGTGACACAAATAGCAAATGTTGCTCAGGAGCTGGAGGGCAGAGTTAGGAGGAGGATGGATTTTCATCGCTCGGTCAGAGGGGACCATCTGTTTATCTTACAGGCTTAATATGATCACAGGACACCAAGCTGCCTCAACAAGAGGAAATTACCCCCACCTTCTTAGAAGGGTAGTTTCCCAAGAGATGCTTCAGACCTGGGATGCAGCTGCACTTGAGAAGGTTCTCTCTCTGTCAAGTGGCAGAAAAGTCTTCTTTCTAGAGATGCATGACCCACATGGGCCATCTCTCACTCTGGAAGAATCCCCACCTTCCCAACCAACAAAGGGCCCTTCCCAGGAAAGGCAGCCAAGGGTCTCTACAGCTAAGCTCCTCCCAGCTCTTCACTATGTGGGAGCTGAGAGGTAGGAAGAAACATGAGGGGAAAATGGTGACAATAACAAGTACTCACTGCTGAGTGGCCCCACGGCGCAAGGCAGCCTGGACTTGTGCTGCCAGGTGACCCAGGAAACTGCTAAGAGCTGGCTGCCTTGAAGGAAGTTGAAAGTGCAGGCTGATTTTCTCTTGTTCCAGGTCTTCTAATCTTTGTTGTAACGTCTCAGCTGGAAACCCAAAATGATGAGAGAGAGGAAAAAAGAACCATGAAATGCAAAATAGATAACCCCGGTGTCTCTTAGCTCCAGTTGTAGTGAACCTTTGCCTTAATGACATCATGACAAGGTTACTAGTTTCTAGGCCAGCACTTTCATCTCTCAGTTGGTACTTCTAAGAATCTTCTTTGCACCAACAAGATGGCTCTCCTATCTTTTATTCTTTTAACTCTCAAAGGTCATTGTTGACATAGTGATATGATGGTCATAATTATGGTCTTCACACAGAGGGATACTTAATATTAATTATTTTAAAAGCACAATGAGCATTTTGGGGAAAAAAACTATAATTTTGGTGAGTTTTATATAATTCCTTTTTTAAAAAAAATCAGTGCCCAAGTTTTGATTTTAACATTTCCTCAGAAATTGCACATCCAGATAGAGCCAGTCACAGTTACTAAAGCCATAGAAATGATGTTCGAATTCTACCATGCTATAGATGACTATATATCCACTTCTGTTGTAAAGTAGGGGTTCCATTATATTTTAATGACCTTAAGTCTACTAGCACAAGGTATAAATATAGAATCTGTGTAATACAATTTTTTCTTAAAAATAAAAATAAACTCCAGATCATTTGGAAGAGTGCTGTCAGCAGATGGTTGATTAGAGATGCCTGGCATTCTGCCTGCCCCCCTACCCCCACCAAAAAAAAGGACCAAGGCAATGAATAAACAGTAAGATTTGACTGGAGTGTTGAAGGGAGGGTGCTGGAGTACGGTGGGGGAGTGAAGATGCAACTGTGATGAATGGCAGTCCCGAAAGGCAGCATGCAGGCACTCAGCCTCTGCAGCCCTGTATCCCCTGCTCAGATTGAATCTGCCTAGAGTCAGGAGGGACTTCTTATTGCATGGAAAAGATAAACAGAAGGACCTCATCAACTCCTATTGACAGAGCAAACACCTACAGTCCTTGCAAAAGGAGAATCTCACAGTTCTTGCAAGCCCTGAGTCCAGTTTGGAGAGCTGCCAGGAATCTGCACAGCTGCATTGCTCCAGATTAGAAGCATAAGGTATGCACTCCCTACCCCTATCCCACACCCTCTGTTGAACCTTTAAAGAATAATTAATACCAATTCTTCTTAAACTATTCCAAAAAATTAAAAGGCAAGGAATTCCTCCTAACTCATTCTACAAGGTTAACATTACTCTGACACCAAAATGAGACAAGGACACAACAACAAAAGAAGCCAACATCTCTGATGAAGAGAGACACAAAAATTCTCAACAGAATATCAGCAAACAGAATCAAACAACACATCAAAAAGATAATATACCATGATCAAGTGGGATTTATCCCAGGAATGCAAAGTTGGTTCAAAATATGCAAATCAATAAACATCATACATCTCATCAATAGAATGAAGGGCAAAAATCATATGATCATCTCAATAGATGCAGAAAAAGCTTTTGATAAAATTCAACATCCCTTCATAATAAAAAAATTCTCAACAAATTAGGTATAGAAGGAAAGTACCTCAATGTAATAAATGGCATATCTGACAAACACACAGTGAACATCTTACTGAATGGGGAAATGCTGAAAGCTTTTCCTCTAATAAATGGAACAGCACAAGGATGCCCAACTGTCACCAGTCTTATTCAACATAGCACTGGAAGTCCTATCCAGAGCAATTAGATAAGAGAGAGAAATAAAAGACATTCAAATTGGAATGGCAGAAGTTAAATTGTCCCTATTTGCAGATGGCATGCTCTTATATCTAGAAAAACCTAAAGACTCTAGCAAAAAAACTCTTAGAACTGATAAATGAATTCAGTGAAGTTGCAGGATACAAAATTAATATACAAAAACCAGTGGCATTTCTATACATGGACAATAAACTAGCTGAAAAATAAATTAATAAGGAAATTTCATTTACAATAACTACAAAAATATTAAAATACCTAGAAATAAATTTAACCAAGAAAGTGAAAGATCTCTGCAAGGGAAACTATGAACCATTGATGAAAGAAATTGAAGAGGATACAAACAAATGAAAAGACAGCCCATACTGATGGATTGTAAGAATTAATATTGTTAAAATAACAGTGCAATCTCTATCAAAATACCAATGACATTTCTCACAGAAACAGAAAAAAAAATCCTAAAGTTTGTATGGAACTACAAAAGACCCCAAATAACCAAAGTAATCATAAGCGAAAAGAACAACACTGGAGGTATCACACTACCAGACCTCAAAATATACTACAAAGCTGTAGTAACCAAAACAACATGGTACTGGCATAAAATTAGATACACGGACCGATGGAACAGTATTGAGAATCCAGAAATTAATCCACATATATACTGTCAACTGATTTTTGGATTTTTGACAAAGGTTCCAAACACTAATCGGGGAAAAGAAGGTCTCTTCAATAAATGGTGTTGGGAAAACTGTATATCCATATGCAGAAGGATGAAAGTAGACCCCTGTCTCTCACCTTATATGAAAATCTAGTCTAAGTCAATCAAAGACCTAAATGTAAGACCAAAAATGATAAAATTATGAGAAGAAAACAGAGGACATGAGCCTGGGAAAACATTTTATGAATAAGATTTTAAAAGCACAGACAACAATAGCAAAACTAAACAAGTGAGATTTTATCAAATTAAAAATCTTCTGCACAGCAAAGAAAACAATCAACAAGGCCAGGCCCAATGGCTCACACCTGTAATCCCAGCACTTTGGGAGGCTAAACGAGGAGGATCACTTGAGCTCAGGAGTTTAAGACCAGCCTGGGAAACATGGTGAAACACCATCTCTACACAAAAATACAAAAATTAGCCAGGCATGGTGGTGTATGGCTGTAGTCCCAGCTACTCAGGAGGCTGAGGTGGGAGGATCACCTGAGTCTGGGGAAGTCGAGGCTGCAGTGATCTGTGATCATGCCACTGCATTCTAGTCTGGGGAATAGAGTGAGACCCTTTCTCAAAAAAATAAAAGATATAAACAATCAACAGAGTGAAAAGACAACCTACAGAATGGGAGAAAATGTTTGCAAACTACCCATCCAACAGGGGATTACTATCCAGAATATACAAGGAACTGAATCATCTCAACAAAAGAAATACAATCTAATTTAAAAATGGGCAAATAATCCGAACAGACATTTCTCAAAAGAAGGCATAAAAATGGCCAAAAATGTATTTTTAATGCTCAACATCACTGATCATCAGGTATATGCAAATCAAAATCACAATGAGGTATCATCTCACCCCAGTTAGGATAGCTATTATCAAAAAGACAAAAAAATAAAATAAACAGCAAATGCTTGTAAGGATGTGAAGAAAAAGGAACTCTTATACATTGTTGGTGGGAATGTAAACCAGTACAGCCACAATGGAGAACAGTATGGAAGTTCCTCAAGAAACTACAAATAGAACAATCATATGATCCAGCAATCCCACTACTGCACATTTATCCAAAAGAAAGGAAATCAGCATCTCAAAGAGACATCTACACCCCCATGTTCTTGCAGCATTATTCATATTAGTCAAGATATGGAATCAATCTAAGTGTCCAACAACAGATGAATGGATAAAGCAAATGTGGTATATATCCACAATGAAATACTATTCAGCCATTAAGAATGAAATCCTGTCATTCTTGGCAACATGAATGGAACTGAAAGACATTATGTTAAGTGAAATAAGCCAGGAACAGAAAGTTAAACATGTTTTCACTCATATGTGGAAGCTAAAATGAGTTTGCTTAAATCCGTTTTGCATTGCTATAAAGGAATACCTGAGGCTGGGTAATTTATAAAGAAAACAGATTTATTTAGCTCCTGGTTCTGCAGACTTTACAAGAAGCTTAGTGCCGGCATCTGCTTCCAGTGAGGGCCTCAGGGAGCTTACAATCATGGCAGAAGGCTAAGGGAGAGCAGGCACATCACGTGGCAAGAGAGGGAACAAGCAAGAAATGCCAGGCTCTTTTAACCAGCTCTCATGTGAACTAACAGAGTGAAAACTCACTCATTACCATGGGAAGAGAATCAAGCCATTCTCGAGGGATCCACCCCATGACCCAAACACCTCCCACCAGGCCCATCTCCAACACTGGGGATCACATTTCAACATGAAATTTGAAGGGGACAAACATCCAAACTGTATCAGGGTTGATGTCATAGAAGTAAGAGGTAGGATAGAGGATATTAGAGGCTGAGAAGGGTAGGGGGAAGTGAAGGATAGGGAGAGATTTGTTAAAAGTTACAGAATTACAGCTAGATAGGAGGAATAAGTTCTAGTGTTCTACAGCAATAGAGAATGACTATAGTTCACAATAGTATATTTTAGAGTTTCAAATAGTCAGAAGGATGTTGAATGTTCCCAACACAAAAAGATAATGAATGTTTAGGCTGAGCGCGGTGGCTCATACCTGTAATCCCAGCACTTTGGGAGGCCGAAGCAGGTGGATTGCTTGAGGTCAGGAGTTCAAGACCAGCTTGACCAACATAGTGAAACCCCGTCTCTACTAAAAATACAAAAATTAGCCAGGCATGGTGGTAGGCGCCTGTGATCCCAGCTACTCGGGAGGCTGAGGCAGGAGAATCACTTGAACTCAGGAGATGAAGGATGCAGTGAGCCGAGATCTTGCCACTGCACTCCAGCCTGGGCAACAGAGGAAAACTACGTCTCAAAAAAAAACAAGAAAATAAATGTTTGAGATGAAGGATATGCTAATTACCCCGATCTGATCACTATATATTATATGTACTGAAGCATCGCTATGTACCCCATAAATATGCACAATTATTATTTGCAAATTTTTTAAGTGGGGAAAAATCAATTGACAAAAAATAAAGATATTAAATTTTTTTATTTAAAAAAATTTTAATTACATATTGCATAATGCTCAAAGAATGCACATAAATAAAATGTTATACAAGTTATAAATATGTTGTGTTTATCAGTGGCTCATTATTAACGAGGATCTCTGGACTATTGATTTTCATTTCTTTTACATGGAAACATTGAGAGAAGGATTCTGTAGATACTCTTTAAACAATTGTTTATGAGTTTAACAGGTAGTGTTTTTTCCTAAGTTAGTTAATAAAAACTTCTCTGTCTATCTAAAAGAATAGATAGATAGATCACCCATGTTGGATCCATGGGTGAATTGAAATGTATTTCTAAAATGCAGGTAAGACTGATCTTTGTGTAGCTTTTTAATTGTTCTGTGATGAATAGGTCATGGAAAAATGAACTTTTGCTATTTGTTGGGATTCTCTCACTGGCCCTTATGTGGCAAGTTTTGGTTGTCTCTCACCCATTACATATATTCCACCTTTGTTTCTTATGGAAAAAAAACTATGCTTTCTGGCACCAAAAAAAAAAGTTGATTCCATTTTCTTTGCTAATAAAGTGTTGGTATCAAACTGTTAAAAAATTTTAAATAAACTGCAGAAATTGGAATCCATTCTAATGAGAACTTATCTTCAAAATCCAATGCCCAAAGAATTAGAAAGTTTCACATAAAACTATTTCTGCAGAAATGGAAGGACTGGGTTTTAAGATACCATTCATCAGAGCTTCCCTTCTGGTGGTCCTTGGCAGGCTAGTGCACTAAGACCTTGATCCTCTTCACCCTGGGGCAGTGGGTGGGCCCAAGGCAGCTCAACATCCCAAGCCATCACCTCGGGCCATGAGCACTTACTACTTAACCCCAGTGTGCAATACAAACATTATCCTTTTTTACGTCATAATGAGAAAATGTTTTAAGAGTCTCTACCCTAGATCACAAAGACTCCTTTATGTTCTTATGGCTCTATAAGCCATTTTCTAAGGAGGCCATTTCGATAAGACTCAAGTCTAAATTAAAACACATTTTTCAACAAGCTTGTCATTTTGAACAAAACCTTTTATCATACACCAGCAGAGAGTAACATGAGTCACAGCGTGCCTCTCAACCTAACTCTTTTCCTGCACTGGCCCATTCCCAAGGCACACACCTGGGTCCCAAAAAGGTAGAGGAAAGGGCAGAAAACTTGTGTCTCTGAGGCTGTTAAGTGAAAGACATTCACATAAACTTGTCATATGCATTGAAACCTATAGCCGGAAACTAAGCATTTACCAACAATTCATTCTAAGGATACTAGAAAAGGTCATCTGTCCAAGATCAAGTCCCAAGTAATTAGCAGATCTCTCAGTCTGTGCCACCTTCTTCAGAAGTTACTGCAGAAGCTAATTCAGACACCCCACTTAAAATACGCAGTAGAGTCTGGCCTGATAAGACCTTCTAGGATAATGCTGAAATGTACCCATTCCTTAACTGACACCAAGCGTTCAAATGTTTATATGATTTCTTTCTTAATACTTTATTTCTTGTTCTACAAAATCAAAACTTTGGTGAAACGCAATAAAGTTCTTGAATTATGTGTTCTAAAATAGCATCCTGATACAGTCATAATGTATGTAAAGATGCATCCAGATCTGTTCCATAGGGGTTAGGAGAAAACCTGAGTCTTCCCCACCTCTGCCACTTCTAGCTGTCTGACCTTCAAGTTACTTAACCTTTCTAAGCTTCAGTTTCCTGCTCTGTAAAAAATGGGGTTAATAATAGTATCTACATCATAAGGCCTTCTGAGGATTAACTGAGATAATCTATGCAAAGCAATTAGCATCATGCCTGGCATTTTGTATGTGTTCAAAAGGATTGTCTATTATTAGTAATATCATTAAGCACTGTCTTCAAATTCCAAAAAAAATTAAAAACCCAGTCTAGCCTCCCTCTGCTATCCACCATATTCTAAACTATACCCATCCACTGCCAGATGAAAAGTTCTCAGAGAGCGCAGGCTGATCCAACAAAATTAAACACTGGAAATGGTAAACTGGCTGCCAAAAATTACACTCACAGTGAATTCCAAAGAAAGATATAAGTTATCGCAGAAAATATCTGTGATTAGCTATGTTCCATGCTGCCACTCACCTTCAAAAGGGTAGGCATCAAAAGCTACTACTTTCTCTCTTTTTTTTTCTTTTTTAAGACAAAGTGTTGCTCTGTCACCTATGCTGGAATGCAGTGGCAGCCTCCAACTCCTGGGCTCAAGCGATCCTCCTGCCTCAGCCTCCCAAGTAGCTGGGACTACTGGCATGTGCCACCACACCTAGCTTTTTTTATTTTTATTTTTGTAGCTAAGGAGCCCTGTTATGTTGCCCAGGCTGATGTCAAACTCCTGGGCTCAAGCAATACTCCCACCTCAGCCTCCTAAGTAACTTGGACTACAGGTATGTGCCACCAGGCTCTGCTTTTTAAATTTTTTTTTTCAGAGATGGGGTTTTGTCATGTTGTCCAGGCTGATCACAAACTCCTGGCCTCAAGTGATCTTCCTGCCTCGGCCTCCCAAAGTGTTAGGATTGCAGGCGTGAGCCACCATGCTCAGCCCCAGTTATTTTTTATCTTATGATTAGAAAAGGGCATCAGGATGGTCACCAGCAATTGCATAGCTTCAGTGATGATCTCCAATTTCTAAATTATCTCCTACTCCAGCCTCTCTCACAGCTCTCAGCTACTGGGAGCTTCCACTTGCCCTGCCAGCACCACCTCTGGTTAGCATAAGGGTGCATCCTACCTCCATTCTGACAAAAGCTGGCTCTCTGGGTTCCCCGAATGACACCCCTATTCACTAATTGGATATTCCAGGCAGAGGGAGCTCCCAGAGAGTGCAAAAGCCATGAGGCAAATACACACTTTAATATGTAAGGAACACTCCTAGTAGGGTGAACCAAGGGGAAAGTAGTAGATGAGGGAGAGAGGGTATGAGAGTGGGCTTGATCTTCAGAGCCACATAGGCCATTGTAGCAGACTTTGGTGTTTACCCCAAGGGAGATGAGAGCCACTGAAGGGTTCTGAGCAGAGGACTGGCATGATCTAGCTCATGTTTAACAGGATCACCTGGCTGCTCTGTTGGGAACACATTGTAAAAGAGCAGAGCCCAGAGACCAGTCACAGGGTCATTGATGTTCCCCAGGCAAGACCTAAGGGTAGCCAGGACCTGGAAATGAAAGCGCAGGTGGTGAAAAGTGGTCGGATTTGAGATGTTCTCTGACAGATCGGACATAGGGAACCAGAAAAGCAAAGTTGCTGTGAGAGGAGCTGGGAGCAGGGTTCAGGAGAATCTGCTGTTCCCATTGCCAGAGTCATTCTTCCTCCACATCCAGCCCAGGCTAAGTCTACCTCATCCATCAGATCCCAGTATCTCCTCCGGTCCTGCCAACCCTGCAGGTAGGCTCCCTGCTCCACCAGCTCCCTAAGCACAGGCAGGTTCTCCTTGACAAGCCACCACACCCTCACCTCCACATGTTCAAGGCCTCATGCATCCACACAAGAGGCGCCATGACACAGTGTTGGTCATTGTATAGTGACCTGCACCTGGGATGCTGCCTGGCTCACAGCAAATTGTTCAAAAAATGAGTCTGATTACAATGAACTTTAGATTCCCTTGTTTTGTTTCTTGTTTTTTTATGTTTTTCATAAGCCACTTTAAATCCTTTTCATTAGCAACTAAATGAATATAAGACATAAATCTCATCAAGTCTTAAATCAAGTTCACTGCCTACCTACCTAGCAAGATGTTACTCTGCCTTGCAAGGGCACTATCCCATCCAGGCCTTCAGCTTCAGATCCTTTGCTTTGTCCCCTTCCTACATTTCACATCCTCGTGAGTCTCTCGTGGTATTTGACATATTCACATCTTCTCCATTTCTACTGTCCCCAGCCTAGCCCGAGTTGTCAGCACTTCTGCAAGGATGAATTACTCTCTGTCTGATCTCTCTCACTCCTTCCATGGTTTCCACACATCACCAACAGAGCGACCTTCCTAACACTCAGATGTGCACAAGCTGATAAACAAAATGCAAAAACATCTGCTAGAACCTGGCATTACTCCAAGCACTTTCATACATGTTACAGGTTGAGCATCTCTAATCCAAAAATCTGAAATTTGAAATGCCCCAAAGTCTGAAAGCTTTTGAGTGCTGACATGATGCCATAAGTAGAAAACTGCACATCTGACCTCATGTGACGGGTCATAGTCAAAATGCAGCCAAAATTTTGTTTCATGTGCAAAATTATTTTGAAATTTTGCATAGCGTTAACTTCAGACTATGTGTATAAGATGTACAAAAAACATAAATGAATTTCATGTATAGGCTTGGGTCCTATCCTGAAGATATCTCATTATATATGTGCAAATACTCTAAAACCCCCCAAAATATTGGAAATTTAAAACACTTCTGGTTCTAAGCATTTCATAGAAGAGGTACTCAACCTGTAATACAAAATCTTCTCAAAGGCCTGGAGGACTCCATGTGCGCTGCAGAACAAAGTCCAAACCTCTGCCCCTGGTATTCAGGACCATAAGTGAGCTCGCTCAGCCACCCTGTCTCTTCTCCATGCCAGCACTCTGCTCCTGAGTCATGTGGGGGAGGCATGACATTGGATAGAACACAGAATCACAACACTAAGGATCAGGGTACCCAGATCCGGGCAACGGCTTTGACACTAACTGTGCATATTCTATTTGACAAATCACTTACCCCACTTAAGTCCCAGAGCCTCATGTGCTAAATATGACCAATACCTCCACAAGATGTTTTTAAATCATGATTGTTACAAAACAACAAAAAGGTGCATCAGAGACCTCCTTGTCTATGTCGGTTGGTGATGCTATTACAGAGTACCATAGACTGGGTAGATTAAACAACAGAAATGTATTGCCCAGAGTTCTGGAGGCTGGAAGTCGAAGATCAAGCTGCCAGCATAGGTTCTGGTGAGAGCTGCCACGTTTCAGGCAGCTGCTTTTTCTCATGGCAGAAAGGGAACAAGCTACCTCTCTGGTTTCTTCGTATAAGGGCACTAATTCCATTCATGAAGCCTCCACCCTCATGACCTAATCACCTCCCAAACACTCCACCTCCTAATACCATCGCATTAGAATTAGGGTTTCAACACAGGAATTTAGGGAGCACAAGCATTCAGTCCATTTCACACCTCAATGGGGGAAGGAGGAAGCTTTACCCAGATTGGCAATCTTTGTCCATGTGATACAGATGATGTGGAAATGGTTCCTCTGGGAGAGGAGAGTGTTTGAAAATGATTGACAAGACTTTTTCACCTTTCAAATGCCATGTTTATTTATTATTTCATCTGTCACTCAATTAATAATGCTTTGGGTAAATCAACATTGCTAGACTGTTGGGCTACAAAGATCAACAAGTCACATTCCTGGCCCTTGAAGAACTCAGTGCCTGGGACTGGGGTCAAAATCATAAATGGGCCTTCTCGTCTCTTCCTGTGCAGAAAAGGTGGCAGTGAGCGGCCCCATTGGTAAGTTGGGAGCCTGTACAGGAGCACACAGGTGGTCCACTCACCAGCACCAAGGATGCAGGGGCTGCCACACAGAGGCATCTGGCAGCACACGTGGTGATGAGCCTGCCAGGGCCTGGGGATGAGGCACATTGAGGGGAACACAGCAACAGATGGGGAAGACAGCTGGGATAAATGGGAGATAGGTTACATGGAGAAATATGTAAACAAATGAAGGAGTTAAGGATATGAAGATAAAGAGGGCCAGATTCCTGATTATTGGAGAATGTTCATATAATCATGGAAAGGGGGAAGGGTAGAAAAGATTCTAATGACTTGCACTGGAATAGGAAACATTAGCATAAACTACTAGTTTTTAATATGCAAACTCACAGGTGAATATGGAAATAGCGAAGGAAGCATATGAGTGCATTTACACACATTTTCTATATTTACCTACTGAGAAGGCCTATAAGTAATGACACCTCAGTAGCCATGAGCACACCAAGCACACAGATCCTGATTTCTAAACTCCATCCATCCATACAAGGAACCAGAGCTCCTGGGAGAAATGGCTGAGGCCAGGGCTGAGGCAGGGGCAGTACAGATGTGTCTACAGCATCCTGTTGTACAAAAAAATTAAGAAGTATTCAAAGGCAGATGGGGACATGTCAATAGAACACAAGAGACACCTTGAAGAAGTTCCTCTGGTCCAAACCTGAGACACTTTGAGAATCAAAATAATAGTAATAAAGTACAGCCCATTGAATAGAATAGGAACCAACACATCCATGCTAATAGAATGCTGACTAATGGAAATGAATGATGAAATGGAGGTTTGATGGGGAGTAGGCATCAGAATAATCATAGACTATCATGCCCACAACATACTATTTAGATATCAAAGGAAACATGGGAACTTAGTGCTGGAGAAACCAGGCAGCCACAGAATGATGGGGTGATGAAGGTTACCATCCACAGTGGCGGGAGGGGTCCACACTGTGTGACACCTGATGTGAACGCACAGTATCATTTTCAAGAGGTTCTCATTAGGGTTGCATGACCTGAACCCGGTCATGAGGAAACATCCGAAAGACCCAGGCTGAAGGTCATCCAACAAAATGTAAGGTCTACACTCCTGAAAACTTTCAAGGACATGGAAGACAGAGAACGATTGAGTACTAACGAACTGCTCAAGCAGGAGGAAACTTAAGAGCTACAACAACTGCATGCAATGTGTGTTCCTGAGTCAGAAAGGAGAAAGGAGCATCACTGGGATGCTTGGTGAAATGGAATGGAGTCTGTAGACTGGAGAAGAGTGTTGTATTAATGCTGACTTCATGACTTGGAGGAAGCTGCAGGTTGGGTGCATGGGAGAGTGTCCTTGTTTGGGGGCATACACAATGGGGTACTTAGGAGTGACAGGGCATCATGATTCACACCTGTAATCCCAGCACTTGGAGAAGCCAAGGTGGGAGGATTGCTTGAGCTCAAGAGTTCAAGACCAGCCTGGGAACATGGCAAAACCCCATCTCTACAAAAAATTAGCCAGGTGCAGTGGCACATGCCTGTAGTCCCAGCTACTCAGGAGGCTGAGGTGGGAGGATGGCTTGAGCCCAGGAGGCAGAGGTTGCAGAGAGCCGATGTCATGCCACTGCACTCTAGCCGGGGCAACAGAGCAAGCCCTGACTCAAAAAATAAAAATAAAAATAAAACTGCAGCTTGCCCTCAAGTGGTCAGAAAAACGTTCTGATAACGGGCGTATGTATCCAGCTCAGGAAGGAGCCAGCTCAGGCATGAGAACGAGGGAGATATGTGAGCTCTTTGTAGCATACTTGTGACTTTTAAGTGCAGAATTATTTCAAAATATGTTGTTTTTTTAAAATATTAATACATATCCCCAGCACTACAAGTGCTGTATTTGTGACCTTTCTGTTCTAAGTCTCCTCATTTGTGTGAATCCTGTTGTGCCTTTAAGAAAACCTCCTCTCCTATTCTCCTTTCACTGTTTGGCCCAGTGGTCAAAAAAAACATAACTCACCTTTCTCTGACTTTTCTTTATTTTAAATCTCTGCAGTCTTTCTCTAGACATTGTTAATGTGATTTCAGTTTATAGCTCAAGGTTTAAGACCAGCATGCTGACAAGTGTACTGCACATAGCAGGTGCTGAATAAATGTGGTTGAACCCATCTGACTAAAAGAACAGCAATAATATTAGAAATATGACTTGCATTTTATAAGCATGGCTGAATAGTAGAAATAAAATAACTCAAAATTAACAAAGGAAGATATTCCTAAGCAGTAGGCAAAATAATGCATTGAAGAATATGTTCCAATTGATAATATAAATTCTATTTATGAAACAAACATGTTTTACTTGTAGGACCTCAGCAATAGAAATGTTAAGCATCATCTCATTCTATTCTGAAGCAAGTGGATGTTATTTTTTATGCTACTGCAACATATTTGCTAATGTTTAATTGAAGGTCAATGCTCATCTGTTATTCTTTAGCACATCAGTAATAAGTGACTCTTACTTGGGTGACAATGAGGAAACAGAATGAAAGAAAAGTGCTTTCTATATCTATGAATAAATAATCAAATAAGCATTTATAAGCAGCAAGAAATCTTCACACATAAAGACATCCTGCTAAATAGATTCGATTCCCACTTCCTTGTTGTGTCTGCAGGATGACAAAATATATAGTGTAGACCATATTCTTAGAGGCTGTGTAGCCATTCTAATTCTAAGGAGGTCTTTTAAAGCTACAAAGCAATCAATGTCTTCATAAGTCATTTTTCTTTGGTTTTTACATAATGGCCAATAAATGAAATTCACTGAGAGCTGAATATTCTAATTCCACATTACCATACACAAGATGTGTGGATGACCACTTTGCAGAGAATTAGACTGTAATAAAATGTATTTCAGACTAACCTGAGCACAGCTGAGCCAGTCTCAGACATTTCAGAACACTGGAGTTTGTTGAGTTTATTTTCATGAAAATCAGCCATGATTGGGGCACTGAAGACTTCAAGCATAATAATCATTTTTGAGCATCTGCTACATGCCCAGAGCTATATGTATATTCTTTCACAACACTTTGCAGAGTAAGAATACAAATGCAGAAAGTGAAATTCAGAAACTTTAAGTAATTTACCCAAGGCCTCACAGCAAGAAAATAGCAAAGGCAGAGTCTGAACTTGATCTTTTTCGGTGCTAACCTCTGGGCTTTTGCTATTACTTTTCCCAAGAGCCACTCCCAAAGCAGTACCTTCCCCTGTAGTTTCCTCCGTGACACAGGGGTCTTGCCTATCTGTTTGATCTGGGTCCCTGGATACTGGGGGATCCACAAGGCAGAAACACAGCCTCATTCAGCTCTGTCTTGCCAGTAAAAAGCTCAGTGTCAGGCATGCAACAGCCACTGGTGAATGCTGAATAAATAAATGAATGGGGCTGGGCACAGAGGCTCATGTCTATAATCCTAGCACTTTGAGAGGCCAAGGCAGGAGCATCACTTGAGCTCAGAAATTCAAGATCAGACTGGGCAACATAGCAAAACCCCATTTCTACAAAAAATACAAATAAGTAGCCAAGTGCAGTGACACACGCCTGTAGTCTCAGCTACTCAGGAGGCTGAGGTAGGAGGATGGCTTGAGCCCAGGAGGCAGAGGTTGCAGTGAGCCGATATCACATCACTGCACTCCAGCCTGGGCAACAGAGCCAGACCCCGACTCAAAAAAATCAAACTAAAATAAATGAATGAGTGTTACAGTTTGGATGAGGAATAAGATAAACATAGAAAATAGCAACAATTTTATGAGCACTGCTATGTGCCAAGCACATTGCTACATATCAATCATTTTATCCTCACAATGATCCCACGAGAGAGTGGTTACTCCCACTTTGGAAATGAAAGAAAGAAGCTTATAGAAAGTTCGAGAAAATTTTCAAAATTAGTCACACAGTTATGTGGATTCAGAAATAAAGCCAAGGTCTGTCTGACTCCAAAACCTATATTCTTAACCTCTGTGTTCTTTCTACAGGAAAGATTCTATCCTTTCACTGTGACATATCTGGAAATACAAATTTGCATGCTTTATACAAATGCAAACTATTCTATCAATTCATTTTCCACCACGTCCACCTCTTTCCCATAGGAAGTATTCAGTAGCCAACAGAAACAAACAAAAAAAACTCTCCAAAATGGAAACAGCCTCAGATCCAATTCTAGGGGAATGGTTAAGTAAATTATGGTATATCCACTCATAGAATGGTATGCAGTAAGTCAATGAACAATTAGGAAAACAGGAAATATTTTAATATTACAAGATAAATCAGGATACAAAATATGTAAATATTATCTGTACTTTTTATTAAAAGTATGTTTTTTAAAAAGTCCTGGGAAGAACTAAGAGTTTTGACAATCAATCAGTCAGTGTGATTTTGAGTGACTTTATTTCAATTTCTCTACTTACAAAGCCAGCTACAAAATTTGAGCTGTTTATTGTTTACAAAATTATTGTATTATTAAAATAACCTACAAGTTACTTATGCTACTCTTTGATTTCTGCATAAAAGTGGAGATTTGGTTTCCTCAAATTCTTAATGCTAAACAGCTTAGGGTAAGCTTGGTTTCCATAGCTCATAGATCTTTTCAGGGAACACCAAAGAGGATTTTTAGAAATGTTGTATTTTAAGCTTGCCCAATGTGTGGAAAGAAGACTGGGAAATCATTTTGTTGTGATATGAAAGGAAAAACAAACCTTTGGAGATGATACAAAAATTTTGGAAGACAAGCAATAATTTAACTGTGATATCTGCCCACTCAGCACTTAGCCTATTGCCTTGTTCTTGATACATATTTGTTGCTTTGCTGACACATTTCAGTGGGATATGTGGTTCTGAAGCAAGTGTTCTTCCCCAGCAAGAATTTGCCAAGTAAACCAGTTAAGTTGTGAATGACTAAAATAGAAAAAGTACTTACACCAGGTCTTGAGTGTGTCATATGACTGGCAAGCTCTAGCAAGCTTGTGTGTGTGTGCGCATGCGTGTGTGTGTGTGCGTGAGAGAGAGAGAGAGAGAGCACGTGATGCCAATAGGCCTTGCAAACATCCTTAAGTTGCAGTTTATAGACAACACAGAAAACACAAAATTTCTCAGGATCACAAGCTTCTGAAGAAAGAGCTTGATTATGGGCACCTCCAAAATACTCATTGCCCCACCACTTCAAACAGATTCACAATAAAGTGTTCTTTCACCAAATGTCAATCATCAAATGTGCCAGGGAAGTAAATGACCAACTGAATTTTTGCTACTTTTCATTAAACCCTCAGATTTTCAGAACTATACATTGTTTCTATAAGTATGTCTTCACAGATGCTATGGAAAAGTGAATCACTTATATATGTGGTCCAAGCTTATGGTTCAGACTCAGGGATGGAGGCATCTTCACTCACAACTGTCCAGGCAAGAGAAATGAGTTTGTCCACTTCTTTTTAAGTGCAATGGAAAGTGCTCACAAACATTCCCACCATCACCAACACCACCAATACGGCCACCACCACCACCAGTCAGGTCATCATCATCATCACCACTCCTACTACCCCCACCACCACTTCAGCCATCACCACCACCAATACTCCTACCACCAACACCACCACTTCTACCATCACCACCCCCCAACCATCACAACTGTCACCACCACCCCTACCATCACTACCATCATCACCATAACTCGTACCACCACCACCACTACTCATGGCACCACCACCACTCCCACAATCACCACCACCACCACTACCACCACTACTCATGGCACCACCACCACTCCCACAATCACCACCACCACCACTACCATTCCTACCATCACCACCACTACGACTTCTCCCACCACTACCACTACCACCATCACTCCCACCATCACCAGCACTGCCACAACCACCACCACTCCTACCATCATCACCACAACTACCACCATCACTCCCACCATCACCAGCACTGCCACAGCCACTACCACTCCTACCATCATCACCACTACAACTACCACCATCACTCTCACCATCACCAGCACTGCCACAGCCACTACCACTCCTACCATCACCACCACTTCTACAATCACCACCATCACCACCATTCCTACAACCACCACCACTTCTACAGTCACCAGTACTCCTACCATCACCACCACCACTCACTACCACTACCACCACTCCTACTGCAATCACCACCATTCCCACCATCACCACCACTCCTACCATCACCACCACTCTTGCCATCACCACCAACACTCCTACCATTACCACCACCTCTACCATCACCACCACTCCTACCTACCATCACCAACAACACTCCTACACTCTTCCTGAGCAAGAATTTGCCAAGTAAACATCACCACCACTCCTACCATCACCACCATCACTCCTACCACCACTATCACCACCACTCCTACCACTACCACCATCACCAACTCTACCCACTGCTTCTACCATTACCACCACTACCACTCCTACCACAACAACTACCACCACTCCTAACACTACCACCATTACCAACAACACTGCTACAACCACCACCACTCCTATCATCACCACCACCACTCCTATCACCACTACCACTGCTTCTACCATCACCACTACCACCACTGCCACTGTTCCCACTACCTACACCACCAACTCATCTCTCACACGTACTATCATCAGCACCACGACCACTGCTACTATCACCTCCGCTAGCACTCCAACCACTATCACCACTGTCACAATACTACTATCGTGGCTCCTACTTATTAGTAGAAAGAGCAAACTATCCAACTTTCTACCTGTTTATTAAGATATATGCATTGAAAGCACTTACTGGAGAAAGAGAAACATTCCTTAGATCATATCCAAGTAGCCATAATACAGAGAACCCAACGGAAATAGCAAAAGACAAAATGCCACTCAGCCACACAATGAAAAAGGTCAAAAAGGACACACATCGAAATATGAATGGTGGCTATGTCTACAAAGGATCTCTACAAAGGATATTTTTCTTTTATTTATACTGTATATCCCAATGCCTACATATTTTTACAATGATTATGCATTGTTTAAATAATTTTTTAATTTCCAGTTTCAGAAATGAAAGATAATTTCCAACTGGTATCTTGAGGCATTTCTAAGTAGAATTCTGTCTGGGATCGATTTGCATAAATTATGAAGCCAAACAGAGATGGGTCTGAATTCCTGCTGGGGCACTTCTTGTCTCTGTGACCTTTCTGATCAATACACTGGACACAAGGTTGTAAAAAAATTCATGATGCGATGTATGAGAAACCCTAGGCACATAGATAGCTAGTTATCATTATCTGTCAAGCCTTGCTATGCTATCAAACTCAACTGTAAAGTATGCACCCACCCACCTTTCTCATGTAGCCTTCAAGTCAATACAACCTTGGAGAGTCCTCATGACAGTGGAGGGCAAGAGAGGACTTTATGGCTGAGCAGGGGTCCAAGGTATTCACACTATAGGGTCAGGATTTAAGAGCATGAGTTCTGAAGAAGCTGTCTCAAGTCAAACCTTAATTTTACTCTTTACTAGTTGCAAGATGTTGAACAAGTCAGAACCTCTCTAAGACTCAGTCTCCTTGACAGTGAAAGAGACAGTGAAACTAGATCTACCTGGTGACTTTGTTGTAACTGTTGAGAGCAGAGCGTCTGGCTCAGGGTTTGCACAGTGCCAGGGAGAGCCATTGCCTTGGCTGTGAGGCAGGGGAAGAAATATTCCACTTAAAGACGCTTTATAAGTCAACTTGCTAAAATTATGCCCAAATGGAATATGTGCTAAGAAAGCAGCTTTTGGAAAAACTGAATAGACTATATCTCTTGGTGGCACTTCTCAGTTAATTTGGAAACTTTTGCAAAATTCACAGCTCTTTCAGTGCACAAAATTAACATAACCTTGATATATTAATAAAAATATAACAAAGTATTAAGAGTGATACAGAGGTAGGAGGTGGGGCTCAGACACCAGGCCTAATTGAGGACTGGTTAAAACAGGGAGGCAATGGAAGCACCTTTTCAAAGACAGGCCCAGCATGCCATGTTTACCATTGCCATGGCAACACCTGAGAGTTTCTGCCCCTTTCCATGGCAATGATCCAACAATGCAGAAGTTACCACCCTCTTCCTAGAAATTTTTGCATGAACTACCTCTTAATTTGCATGTAATTAAAAGTAGGTATAAATATTACTGCAGAACTGCCTTTAAGCTGCAGGAGCAATCACAGAACTATAACACTGCCACTTCAATAAAGCTGTTTTCTTCTACCACCATCTTTCCCTTGAATTCTTTCCTGGGCAAAGCCAAGAACCCTCCTGGGCTAAGCCCCAGTTTGGGGCTTGCCTTTCCTGAATCAATACTGCCTAAAAACTGGGCTACAACAGAATATCCTTTCAAGGTTCTTTCTTAATCCTTAAAATATTAAAGTGAAATTCAGGAACCCAAGCTTGGAACCTAGAACTTCCATTTTCCCATTTGGGGTTATACAGGGAAATGTGATAGATCATGCCTACACAAAAAACTGTGATTTTTTTTTTTTAGCCATTTAAAAATATGTAAACTCTGAAAGAGAAACTCTTATTTAAAATGTAATGGCAGGCTCTCCTGCATAAAAATAATTTTACACCATATTCTTCATTTTAATTGAATTTAGACATATATTCAGTCATCACCAAAATGGGTTAATTACTTAGGCTAGGACTAACTCACTTAGCAATCTAGGTGCACAGCTGATAAATGACCAATTCTGTGCACTGAAAACTGAAGTTTATTAGGTATAGTCTAACTAGGAGAGAAATTAAAAGAATAATTCTTTATAGCATATTATCATATCTTACCCCAGCCTACCAACAAGGCCATGGGAAATTTCTGGCAAGCTATCATCCAACTTATACATTCAGCCAGTTGTTATTGGGCCAATTCCATATTAACAGTAACTGTAGAAACTGCACTATTGAAAAACATTTTATTGGGTGCTATGTTCACTAACTACATTTGGGGTGACAGGATCAATAGAAGCCCAAACCTCAGCATCACACAACACATCCTTGTCACAAACCTGCACAACATGTATCCCCTGAATCTAAAGTTTAAAAATAAAAAATAAAAATAAAAGGTCAATGTGACTGGCTGCAGGAATGTGGAGAAAAAATAAAATCCAAATGGTCACTTTTTTAGTTTCTTTTTCATTGGCTTCTTTATCCTTCTCCATGTCTACAGTGGGTTTTGGACATTAGAAACACTATTGGCACTGAGGCTATTTTTGGAATCATACAAATGAATGAATTCAAATGCCATTCATTATTTATCTCTATTGGTTTTTGGTTGCAGTCAGTGTTCACTGTTAAACTGGACATGGCATTTAATTCATTCCTGTGAACAGATTTTTCATGAGTAATTTGCTCTGCTGGTGTTTTCACAAAAAATTAGCTGGATGTATCTGCTTGTCAGTGCTCAAAAACTACAGGCTCTCTCACCCTTTTAGTGGTAATTGCTGCAGCCTATAATCTTTTAAGACATAATTGTTTTTTTATAGAATATTTTGCAGCTCATTCATCTATAATAGAATTCAGAGTATCAGAGGAGCACCACTGAGCAACCACCATCATCATTATTTTTTAAAATATAATTCAAACCACAGTGATGTGTACATCCCTTTCTGGAATGGACAAATGGAACATACCAGTGTTAGGCCCAAAGCCAAGGGGGTTGTACAAAATTGGTCTCTGGCTAATGACATGGCAGCAGGAACAGCTTAAATTCTTTGAGTGATGTAAAGGTATCAAGATACAACAGCTAGTCAAAAAAAAAAAAAAACCCTAGAGGATTAAATAAAATATTTCCACTAGCCTGAGCTATTCCAATTTGGATGAAATCCAATCAGAAGGCATAAAGCGTGCTAGAATATTAGTTTCTTGGAACAAAGCAGAATGAAGCTATTTTCTTTTGGCTGAAGAGCAGCAATACAAATAAAACAGTGACCTTCAATTCAAAGGCAATGTTAATAGAGAGAAATCACAAAACTGCAGCCAGTGATAAGAATAACTAATAAAGAGCAATGCTTCTAGCACACTGTGAACCTGTGTATGTACTGGACTCCAATATGCCTCTATACGATTCCTCAGGGATCTAGAAGTAGAAATACCATTTGACCCAGCCATCCCATTACTGGGTATATACCCAAAGGATTATAAAACATGCTGCTATAAAGACATATGCACACGTATGTTTATTGCGGCACTATTCACAATAGCAAAGACTTGGAACCAACCCAAATGTCCAACAATGATAGACTGGATTAAGAAAATGAGGCACATATACACCATGGAATACTACGCAGCCATAAAAAAGGTTGAGTTTGTGTCCTTTGTAGGGACATGGATGAAGCTAGAAACCATCATTCTCAGCAAACTATCTCAAGGACAAAAAACCAAACACCACATGTTCTCACTCGTAGGTGGGAATTGAACAATGAGAACTCATAGACACAGGAAGGGGAACATCACACACCAGGCCTGTTTTGGGGTTGGGGGAGGGGGAGGGATAGCATGAGGAGATATACCTAATGTTAAATGACGAGTTAATGGGTGCAGCACACCAACATGGCACACGTATACATATGTAACAAACCTGCACGTTGTGCACATGTACCCTAAAACTTAAAGCATAATAAAAATATATATATATGCCTCTATAAATACTAAGGAGAAGCCGAAAGATACACTGTAGAAGGCTCTGCAGGACACATTTTAGAAGTACTTTCTCAAACTCCTCAGATGCCATGCAGATTTTAGAAGTAAAATTTCGTTAAATGGGAACATTTTCCAGAGCAAAAATGCAATAGTAACAGAATGCAGATGGAAGAAAGACCTCAGGTCCTTGGTAGAACAAACTAAGTTCACCATGTGGTTTCATATGTCAAGCAGTTACATCTTTGGCCGTTAGGCTCTTCACTGGTTAAGTGTATAACTCCAAGGATAGAGCTCCAAGACCTCTGAGCTACAAAATAATAGTTGGCAGCTCAATGACTCTTACTAGGTATTAAAGCCTAACTCCTGGACCCAGATGGGAACTCCTGGTAGGTGCTATCCAGGAGCATGAGGACTAAGCCAGAGGCCCCTGAAGACAGTGGGCGATTGTGCCTTGTTGGCGGCTGCCTCCCGAACATCTACCGCACTGTGTGCTGTAAAAGGCAGTTAGGATTTGTAAAATGAGAAGACAGTCTCACTTTAACAAGAGACATTCTCTTTAGACACTTTAAAAAACAAATCTTGGCTTTATAATGCTTTAAGCTAGCATCTTAAAGATTAACATCATAGATGGCACAACATGTGATCCTAAAGATAAACCTCTAAAGAGGAATAAAATGATCAAGTAAACACCAAAGGGATGCAGCGTGATTCCTCCATCTTTGTATGAAATCCTCTAGCATACGAAAAAAAAATCAAGTTTTAAAACTGATTTATCTGCTTAAGAGTCAGGAGACCCAGATTTTAGTCCTGGATTCATCCTAAACAATCTTATAATATAATTTTAGGGTTTTTTCTTACCACCCCCCTACCCCTCCTTTTTTTTTTAGACAGAGTCTCACTCTGTCACCAGGCTGGAGTGCGGTGGTACAATCATAGCTCACTGCAGCCCCGAACTCCTGGGCTCAAGCGATCCTCCGACCTCAGCCTCCCAAAGCACTGAGATTGCAAGGCATGACCCACCACCACACCAGGCCCTATTTAACCCCTCTAAGAGCCACTTTACTCATCTCACATATGAAAAATAACACTAGGCCAACTCATGCCACCAGATTATTGTAAAATGGTGAGAAAAGAATGCCTGTGAAGAGTTTTGAAAAACACAAGTAGAAGAGTTGTTACAAAAGTAAAAATGATTCCAAGAGATTGCTGTCATGGGTTTAATTGCTTCTTGATTCAGATTTAATTCTACTCAAGGGGCGTCTCTCTGAAACTCAGCCTATATTCAGTGAGTCCCAACACCCAGAGGATGGTCAAATAGAGGAGGAATTAATGGCCAGTCTTGCCCAGTGTTTACTTCTTCAAAATGTAAAATGTCCATCCCTGCCCCCTGTCCTAAACTCGCTCTCTGTCCTCCATTCACACATGTAGGACATGCAGCAGTCTCCCTTTAGGGCCCCAGGCATCAGTGGTTCTGAACCACCTGGAAGTCATTAAGCCCTCTGAGGAATACTGGGACATGTTGATATATGAAATTCTATCTTATACACTAGCAAAAATATCAGTAGCAGAAAATAAGAATCCATTATAGGTGTGCAATGTAAAATTAGAGTGAGAAGCACAGGTGTCCATGAAAAATAGAGAAAAAGCAAGCTATAACACGAGAGATGATAGTTTCTGAGTATTCCACGGATAATCATGTGCTATGTTCATCCATTTTATCATCTTGCAGACACCTGAAGACAAGCAGGAGCAGGCAGGGATGAGCTGGTGTTTTAAGAAAAGAATCAGAATATTGCTAATTACCAAGTACTGACTGCATTACTATGCCAGCCTTAATCCAAGGTTGATTCTATTAGCTTGAGAGCCCTCTCTTAATGAATAATCCTGAATAGTTACACCCCAGATTCTTGCAGGGAAGGGTAAAATCTCACTGCAGACCCTTATTTGTCCATCATAGGCTAAGAGAGAGATCATGGATGTGATTATGGATATGATATTTCTAGAAAGATGATGCAGTCCATCCGTCTCTCTTTTCCTGATATTCTAAAACCACTTCCTGAATTAAGACAGAGCAGTTAAGCAGCATGTCATGGAACCAGATCATGTGGCCACTTATAAAACTGCCTTTGCCCAAACACATTCTGGGGTGATACTATCAATTTATAAGAACTGGCCCCTGTTGTGTCAACTGCTTTTGAGAATATTGTCTTTTACATTATGTAGGGAGGGAATACAGCCCGTCTTCCCTGCCCTTAGGTATCCATGAGGAGGGGCTTTCCCTGTTGCCCCGCTGCTTTCACCTGTCCAGGGAGATAGACTGAATTTCCCCACTGGTAAACTGGGACCTAAGACTGAGCATGTGTAACTCAGTGCTTCCTCTCTCCCTCCTTGGTGGAGGCCAGGTGACCTTGGGCAGCACTCATTTGCTCTGCTCCTCCAGAAACTCAGGTTTACAAGGCCAGGCCTCAAAAAAAAGGTGCCTGCAGCTCATCACTGCCCACAGCTGCATGGGCAATTCTTGTTCTGGGGTTTGGTATTAGGAAGCCCACTGTTGCCATATACCCAAGCCACATTCCATAATGTTATGTTATCAGGAACGATGCTGATATTTAGATTTCCATCTTCTTCATGCCTTCATGTTATCTCTCACTTGGTTCATAACATGGAAAAGCAAAATGTTATTTTGGGGCTGTGCCTGTTATTAAGCTATTGTCTCTCCCCTCTAAACATATCTTTTTATCTTCTGTTTTGTGATGCTGAGGCTGGACCTCTGTAGACCAACCATGTTTCTGACTTTGCTGCCAGCTCCAAAGAGACTGCAAGGCTGGAGGAGGAAAGGGGATGTGCTCCTTCCTGTCTGCTCCCTGCTTTCAGCTTCTTGCTCCTATCTGCCACTCCCTAACAATGCTAGGCTACACCATTTCAGTGTGCAGTTTCTCCAGCACTCGTAGGACCAATCTCATTCCCTCAAAGACACCACCCCCGAGACCAGCCAGTGTCACCCTCTTGGGCATATGGACCCAGCCCAGAAGGGCCTTCAGCCAGCTCAGGCAGCACTAACTGAACTTTTCTCAGCAAACGGAAAATACCAACAATGCAGGACAGGCAAGCCCCCAAACTGGGGCTTATCCCAGGAAGGTTCTTGACTTCAACCAGGAAATAATTCAAGGGCGACCTGGTGGTGTTAGACAGCAATCATCTTAATGAAGCGTACTGCTCCTCGCAGAGCAGGGCTAACTCATAGGCAGCAATGCAGAGTCAGCAACATATGGGCTCTCGGAACTGTGTTTATTCCCACTTTCAATTACAGGCAAATTAAGGGGTGAGCTAGTGCAAATTGAGGGGTGGGTTATTTAGAACTTCCTAGGAAAGGGGCAGTAACTTCCGGTAGTTGCCATGGCATTTGTAAGCTGTCATGGGGCTGGTGGGATGTCTTATGCTAATGAGCAATAAGGGCAGTTAGGGATGGCTTTTGTCGCCATCTGCTGGTTTGCGTCAGTTTCTTCACTTGACCCTGTCTGGACCAGATCCTGTTTGGGTCAGGAGGCTTGTGAACACAAAATAAGTCTTGCCAGTTTCCTACCTCACCACCATTATTCCAGGATGTATTCTGTGCGTGCAGAACATGAGAATCACTAGAGCTGATCATCAAGAGGGACTTGAGCATCCCCACGAAGCCTGATCACTGGGGACGTCACTGTGGTTGCTGCACAGCGAGGGCTGACTCCCCCTCCCTGCTTCCACACCACCGTGACCCTCTCTGTGGTCACACAAAGCCATAACAGGCCACGAGGGAGTGACTCACTGATCCTGGAAACAGACAGTGACCCTGTAGGTCCCGGGGAATCTCTCCTATAGTGACATGGACAACAAAGAGCACTAATGGATGTAGACCAAATCCTGTAGAGAAAGCCAGCAGTACCTGGTTAAATGGGAACTGGCCTTTTCATTTGTAACAACAAAGCTATGCTACACACTTGGCTCTCAGAACCACCCTGACAACTACCCTAACCAAATGACAGTGACACTTGAGAATGTAAAATAACCACTGACAACCAAACGCCAAATGCCAAAATTTGAGTGGAGATAGGCCACAGTTAAGAATAAAAGACACAGGGCACCTCACTGTTTAAGGACAGACTCTGAAGCCAGGTCTCCTATTGAAGACTGCTTAAGATTAGGAATTCCAGGAAAAGTTTGCATCTGTGTCTATACACAGATGACTAAAGGAAGGAAGAAGAAAAGAGAGACTGCCTTTGGGGGAAGAGCTAGGCTCAAGGCTGTGACAACTCTTTACCTCCCCTCTCCTGCAGCACAGCGGTTATTGTACGCTGGTTCCCTCTCCTGGGTGAAGGGCTTCAAGACAATCACCTTGAAGTTTGGGGATGTCTACAAGAAGGGTAAACTGGTATCACACTTGGGGCGGTGTTTGCAGGGTTCTAGAACCCACAGGCCACTTCACTGCCATCTTTAAACATAGTAAGAAGTCCTCGGGAAGAAATCAGGGTGGAAGAGTCAGGATAAGGGAAAAGGCTCTTCTAGAGCCCCGCTGTTTCATGAAAAACCGGAACTTCTAGGTCCCCAAGGACCCACGCAGGCAGGCAGGGCCCCTGGGCATCCCAGGAGACAGCCCAGGGAAGCAGCCCTGCCCCCTTCCCCACACAGAGGATATGACAATTGAGCATGCAAAGCCAAATGAAGTACCAAGGCCATTGTTCAAAATACTGGTCCAATCTATTAGCAGGTGACAATATCCATTTAAAGGATGAAGACCAACATTCACTTTTAATGAACTAGAATAGAACAAATACAATATCAGAGTGGGCTGCATTTTTGTTCTATGTATATACAGGGTCATGGTGAGTTTCCTTCCTGGAGTCACCATCACAAACTGTGAAAGCCACTGACCTAGGGAATTAATTGTCCAGACATCGGCACTGGGCACAATAAACTTGCCAACAAATGCTCCTGGTTGTTTGGGTAAGAAGATGTAGCCCACCCCACAACCAACAAAAAAGAGGGAGGAAGAAGGGAGGGAGAGAATGAAACATCGGTTCTTGCCTTTCCTCACCCCAACAGTCCCAGTGGCTGCAGAAGTCTGTCTGCCAGGGAAGGGAAGGAGAGATGAATGGAAGACTGAATTTGAGAATAACACTAACAGTGGCTGACAGTGTCATAATCCAATTGATGAGACAAAAATCACCAGAGCAGACTGTTATAAGACAGAATAGGACCAATATTTTAAAATGTTTGCTCTGGACAGGCCATCAGAGAAGTCTGATATAACAGACATGCTATATGAAATTTAACCTTTGATGTAACCACAGGACTGCACAGAAAGAATAACGTTCACTTAAACCAGACCAGAAATAAGTTCTGCACAAAGAGTAAGGTCGTAGCCAGTGCACCTGATCTCACAGCAATAATTCTGGAAGCAAGGGAAGAAGATCATCGCCGTTCCACAGACCTGAGTTTACAGGTCTTCCTGCAGGAGCTTCCTGCCCAGATGTTCTGCCTGCAGTTATGGTTGACCCTTGAACAACACGGGTTTTAACATGTGAGTCTACTCATAGGCAGACTTTTTTTTCAATAAATACAGTCTGTATCAGGGGTTCCAGATCCTTAATCCAACATGAATCAAAAATACAGCATTCGCCAAGTGTAAAACCTGCAGATATGGAGGGCCGACTTTTCATATCCACTGAAAACAAGACTTGAGTACACGTGGATTTCTGTATCCACAGGCGTCCTGGAATTAATCCCCCATGGATATCAAGGGACAACTGTAGTACATATTGCCACCAAGGGGAAAATGATTCCTTCATAATTGTCCTAAAGGCCTCCGAAGTTTAATTCCCGTAACTGACATTAATCATAGCATATTTTTCCATTTGCTTTTGGGTGGTTTCTCCCCCCTACAAAAATCTAATTGTCCCAACACAGAACAATAGCGGTTTTTTCATGCCATGACAGGGGACTGGGAAACGCATGGGAGAAACGGTACAGTGGGCAGAAATGCCCACCTGGTTTTTTTCAAGCCCATGGCCAGCATCCAGACAGCTGCTATCCTGAAATAATGTTAAAAGGGAGAGGAATATGATGCTACCCTGATCATAAATGAGCGTATTCTTCCACGTGGGTCCTCTTTTTCTTTTCATGATGTCTAAAGAAGTCATGATCTACGCTGTGTGGATATCTATTTGTCTTGCTTTGTTTAAATTTGGGAAGTTTCATTAATAGGAGTTTGGTTCAGGATGTCGAGGCTTCCATGGTGGATCCAAAGCAATTGGTTCCAGCTGCCAAGAAGAAAATGAATACCTCTGAGTGGAATGGACACAGAATAACATCCTTGACTGGGACTAACAGTATTTGAAGCACTGTGATGTTTATGCTGGACACACTTGTTCGAGTGTGGATAAGTAGAAAGATCTATTTCATAGAGCAGTCCAGGCAGAGCTGTCCGCATTCTACAGAACCTCATTTGTATCAAATACCATGGTCATTCCAGGTTAAGCATCTCTAGCATACTGTGTTTTTTACTCAAAATTCAAGCTTCTATCAAACATGAAAAAGAAGCCCAGATTTGGGAGGAATCTCTTCCTTTCTCTCAACAATAGTTTCCAAATATCTGAGATACCATTTTTGAAAGTCCTTAAGGCAGTGCTTTTTTTTTTTTTTTTTTTGAGATGGAGTCTTGCTATGTCGCCAGGCTGGAGTGCAGTGGCGCGATCTTGGCTCACTGCAAGCTCCGCCTCCCAGGTTCATGCCATTCTCCTGCCTCAGCCTCCCGAGTAGCCGGGATTACAGGTGCCCGCCACCACACCCGGCTAATTTTTTGTATTTTTAGTAGAGATGGAGTTTCACCATGTTAGCCAGGATGGTCTCAATCTCCTGACCTCATGATCTGCCCGCCTCGACCTCCCAAAGTGCTGGGATTCCAGGCGTGAGCCACCGTGCCCAGCCAAGGCAGTGCTTTTCAAGAATTTTTGTTTACTTCTTGATTTTTTTTCATTGTTTGTTTTTCTTTTTCTTTTTTTTAGCAACAGAGCCCTTTTTGAGATGAAATCTTACTGGACTAATAACAGATGGAAACCAAAGTACTCTGGATGAAGCTTCCCTTTCAGCCTTCCCTAAGGCATCTCTGAGGCTCCTCAGAACACAATTTGAAAAGCACAGCCTTCTGGTGTTCTGAAGAGAATACATGGATCCAAAAAATGTTGAACAGCTGTAAATATCAGCAACCCCAGGTTGCCAAGTTTTTGTTGCTGCCCCAAGTCCATATGATATAAATGAACATTTCATTGTATAAGGTCTTTAAGAAAAATAAAAGATTTATATCTTTTGATACAGTTTTGATATATCTGATTTCATAAATATGCATCAAATATTAATCTCAGCCAGATTTACTTACTTGGAGCATGAAGCCAAATCCTCAACTGTGGTACTAAGGATTTTATTAGAATTCTAACTTTCCAGAGAGTATTTTTAAACATTTTCTTCTAATTTTTTCTCTCCTAAAAACTTTTTTTCTTTTTTTTTCTCATCTGTAGTGTGGAAAAGAATAAAAAGCAGATAACATTATCCACAATACTCCAACCAGGGACAGCCTGAATTAATATGTTGACATAGCTCCTTTCAATCAGCACAGTTTTTATATGTATTATTTCCTCTGTTTCTTTCATCAGCCCAGCAAGGTAGGTAGAGCTAATGTTATTGTACTCATTTGGCAGATGAGGACATCATTTCTCACATCAGGACAGACCTGGCTCTGGAAAAAAGCTGGGAAAAGTTCCAGAATGGCATGCCCATTTTCCATTGTCAATTTTCATGATCCGTATCCACAGTTGCTGTTCACCCCAAATGAAAATGTAACCCTTCCAGTGACTTCCTGCAGAGGTAAAGTAAATTACCTGTGGTTATTAATGCAGTCAATGTCAGAACTAGGTATGCAAAGTGAGATGACTGGTAGCAACTTCCTCCAACAAACCTGTAAACGAAACGACAACACGTTTCCTACCTGCTGCTCAGAACCACTTCTGCCCTGTGACTATCTGGGAGAAGGAACAAACTTAAGAACTTCACATTTTAGCCCTCATGCAGAAAGCCCCAAGGGAAAAAAATCACCCAGTGGTAGAAAACTAAAAGTAGTCAAGTTAGGGAACGGCAAAAATGAAGCATTAGAAAAGCTGAGAAGAGGCCGAGTGCAGCAGCTCACACCTGTAATCCCAGCACTTTGAGAGGCCGAAGTGGGAGGATCGCTTGAGGCCAGGCATTCAAGACCAGCCTGTGCAACATAGTGAGACCCCGTCTTTATAAAAAATTTTTAAAATTAGCCAAGTGTGGTGGCATGCACCTGTAATCCCAGCTTCTTGAGAGGCTGAGGCAGGAGGATCGCCTAAGCCCAGGAATTTGAGGCAGCAGTGAGCTATGATCATGCCACTGCACCCCAGCTGGACAACAAAGCGAGACCCTGTCTTAAAGAAAAAAAATTAAAAAGAGTAAAGAAGAAAACATCCTATGGTAAAAGCAAAGAGCAAAGAGGAGAGGAAGACAGCTTACAAAGACAGAAAAGTCAAAAGACTATAGTGGGGTACCTGCGAGTAACCAAGTCCTTGGCAATGAAAATTCATTATGAGCAAATCTCACCTCACAATAAACTCCTAGAGGAACTAATTACACTAAATGTTCTGGCCATGACTTAGGGAGTAGTCATCCCTAAGGCACCCTTGGGTATATGGAAGTTGCCACGCTCGGTAGCAAACAGGGGCTGCTTCAGTGTCTGTCTCCTGTCGGGTTAGTGTTCTATCAAGCCTGTCAATTGCAACTTATTTTGTGTTATGAGACAAGCTGGCACATTGTATAAAGGTCAAGTGGAAAACTGTCCCTTCTGCTACATCGCTGTCATCAGCTACTAAAGGTCATTCCACCCAATACATGGCTGTGACGGAAAATAACTTTGTTTGTCTACTGTGACATATGAAAAAGTCCTTCTGCTGTGAGCTTTTTGGTTTCTCTCTACTCTCAACAGGCATCAAATTAGGTGCGCTAAGGTTATCTAAGAAAATGATTATCTAAGAAAATAATCAGTTCGCAAATACATTTGAACAAAAAAACACAAAGAGATTAAAAAGCCTATCTCTAGCAGATCTAAAATACCTAAATATTTTACCAGTGAGTATAATTTAACAAACATTCATTCTGAATGATACATAACCCAAATATTTAGCATGCACCATCTCATTTAATTCTCCAAACAACCCTATTATCCCATTTTATAGATAGAAAAAATAAAGCTTAGAAAGAATAATTTGTCCAAGCTTATACAGCTAGCAAATGGCAGAATTGAACTTTGCAGTCAGGTTTTTAACAAGGTTGACCTGAAAAGCGCTAATGCTTTATAATTCTATTGTTAGTAGAATTATCAGCTATTAATAATGTAACAATGATAATAAGATGATAAGTGATAATAAGATGAATTCACTTGTTCATCCAACAACCACTTCTTGAGA
This sequence comes from Homo sapiens, assembly GCF_000001405.40. Classification (NCBI taxonomy): domain Eukaryota; kingdom Metazoa; phylum Chordata; class Mammalia; order Primates; family Hominidae; genus Homo; species Homo sapiens. The sequence goes on along the minus strand of NC_000001.11, from coordinate 231,719,325 downwards.
GGCTACTTTGACCAAGCACTATGCTAAGTTCTGGGGATAAAGAGTAAAAATGAATAGGGTCTCTTTCTTTCCCTAGGAGGCTAACAGTTTAGCCAAGAGGACAGCCAATAGCTATGCTAAAACACAATATGTATGAGGATAGAGAATATACCAAGCACTCAAAAGAAGGGGCACTGAAACCAAGTCTTTTTTGTTTTTTTGGAGACAGGGTCTTGCTCTGTCACCCAGGCTGGAGTGCAGTGGTGTGATCATAGCTCACTGCAGCCTCGACCTCCTGGGCTTAAACAATCCTCCAGCCTCAGCCTCCCATGTAGCTGAGTCTATTGATGCACAGAACCATGTCTGGCTAAATTTTATAGACATGGGGTCCTGCTATTTGCCCAGGCTGGTCTACAACTCCTGGCCTCAAGTCCTTCCACCTCAGCCTTCTAAAAAGCTAGGATTGTGGCATGAGCCACACCATGACCAACCAGAAACCAAGTCTGGATGACCTAGTAGGAGAAGGAGGTGGTAAGTGCAGGCAGAGGTACTAAACAGTGGACAAGGCAGTATGCCTTCGGGAACTACCAAGGGACTAAAGAGAAAGTTGCAGCCAGGTGCGGTGGCTCATGCCTGTAATCTCAGCCCTTTGGGAGGCCGAGGCGGGCAGATGACCTGAGGTCAGGAGTTCGAGACCAGCCTGGCCAACATGGAGAAACCCCGTCTCTACTAAAAATAGAAAATTTGCCAGGTGTGGTGGCACATGCCTGTAATCCCAGCTACTCGGGAGGCTGAGGCAGGATAATCGCTTGAACCCGGGAGACGGAGTTTGTGGTGAGCCAAGATTGCACCATTGCACTCCAGCCTGGGCAACAAGAGCAAAACTGCAACTCAAAAAAAAAAAAAAAAAGAGAGAGAAAGTTGCTTGAAGTGGGGAAGGAATGGCAAGAAATGAAGTTAGAAAGCTAAGCAAGGGCCAGGGCAAGAAGCTGGTTATGGCAGGCCATATTTAACATTTGTCCTGATAGTGACATTAGTCACGCAGAGAGATGAAGTAGAAAAGCAATTGTAAATGAGTTTTAGAAAGAAGACTGGTTACAACATGAAGGATGATTGGAAAGGGATTGAAGGATGATCGAAGGATGCTTTGGAGGGGGATGAAAATAGAAACCAAGGACCCATTAAGAGGCGAGTGCGTGTGTCCAGACAACACTTACGAGATCAAAGGACAGAAGGAAGAGATACTTAAGAGATAAAATCGAAAAGGTGTAGTGGCTCATGTCCCGGGAGAGCTGAAAGTCCACAATGACCCACAGGCTTTTTTCTGCTTGACTTGCCATTCATTGTAATAGGGGATATGGCAAGAGGAGCTGGGCTGAGATATAACAAAGATCAGGAACTTCTAGAGGGATGGTGGGAAAAAGATAGTCTTTAGATCTTAGTTTGGACATTCTATACAATAGTATTGGAAAATAAAATGGTGCCATGAATTCAAGTCTTTTTTTTATTAATGAAGAGATTTGACTGTCAAGAAACAAATGGACAATGAAAGCAATTCTCGCACTATGACAAGCAGGCAAATGAAGTAAGGAGGTTGTGGAATTGTCTGATGCGTTCATACAACACATAGAATTATTGAATGGTGCTCAGTCTATGGGACCTGGAGACTTTTGGCAGTGAGAAGATTGCTGGAGTGATCTCTCTTCTTCACTGCTGCTTATTTTCCAACTCCACTCAGTCCCTACTCTGAATACATGACCCTTGCCACCTTGACCCACTTGATCTACCTTTCCTCATCAACAAGCAAAACTGAAATGGCCAATGCAGGACCCCACGCCTATGGCTCAGTGAGACAGAGTCAGCAGAGGGAGGCGGGCCTTGGCTTTTCTGACCAGTTCAAACTGTAGCAAGGCTCCAGACTCCAGATCATACACAATCAGCCTAGAGACCCCCAGCTACCACTACCAACACCAAAGCAGAAAAGACCAATCCCTCCTATAACTTTCTACCCACTCGTGAGATGCCCTTTGGTTCTGCCAAGGGCCTGCCTTCCTCCAACTGAAGACCTTGTTAACCTTCAAATATTTATATACCATAAAGGTTTTTATTTCCGAGACTTGCAGGAAACTTATTCACATTTCCCTAGAGAACTTTTTTTTAATGGGCCACAATTCATCTCCCAAAGACAGGACCTCTAGAGCAGCTGATGCATTCACACCATGCTTTGAAGCCCTCATTGACTTAGGAATAGGAGCTGGGCCAAGCAACAGGATGAGAGAACAGCCAAACACAAACTGCAGAGCTTGCTAAATCTGGAAGGAACCGCCACTCAAGATTTTCTTCTGGCATGCCTCTCTGCCATCCAGAACGTGTTGGTAGTGGATTTGATATTGATTTTTTATTAGACAGGATGCAAGATTTAATTAAGTGCCCAGACACTTTATAAAAACAAATTAGCTGTCCAGTCCATCACCCAGAGCAAGGAATTCCACGAAGGAGCACAGGCGCCATCTCGTTGCCATTATGCAAAGGAAATGGACTCCATGTTTGTAAATGACCATTTTAAATGGAAAGATTAAATGGTTACCTGAGAATTACACCTTAGCCTTCTCTGCCCATGAGGGTGAAGGCCACAAAACAGTAGAGACCCACAGAAACATAATCAGAAGAGAGAGAGCTTTCAACCTCTCTTTCTTCAGTCTTGTCTTTAGTATTCCATGTATGTCCCATTTTCCTCCTTCCCTTTCCATTTTTTTTCCTTCCACTCTTAAAAGCAGGATTGCCAGTTCTTTCAAAGCCCAAGCAGGGTTTCAATTTCATTTTCTCAATGTCATCCAATGTCATGCAACAAAGCATCAGGCAGAAAACGAGAGATTCTAGGTCATGAAATTTAGACTGCAGATAAAAAAAATAGTTTGCCATACGACAATGTGAAGAGTAGTCAAGCTTTAAATGCTTCTTTATAATTTGCATGTTTTAATATATATTGCTTTACTTCATTTCCAATTTTTTTTTTTTTTTTTTTTTTTTGCAGATTGAAAGAAATCAGGCTATGTGCAAATAAGCTTCTTATTGCCAAACAGAAAAGAAGCCAAATCATTGCATCTTATTTTCTGCACGCTATTGGCACTAACTGCTGGCAGGGAGATTTTTCAGAAGCATCCACACTTTACACAGTGTTTTCTAACATGTAGCACCCGGGGGTAGCGGGTAAGTGGTAGGTAGAAAAAGAAAAGGCAGCAAATAATTCTTCAATACCTCCAGGCACTGTGCAGGCATCTCACACACATCATTATCACATTTAACCTTCCACCCACACAGCAGGATAGGTATTATTATGCCTAGTTTATCCAGGAACAAGCCAGTGCTCAAGGACAGAAGACAAAACAAAAGTGTGCTGCGTGGCCACACTGACATTCTGGTCTCCTCACCCAGTCCCCCTCCATTCCCGGCTGAGCTGTCCTCATCCAGAGGTACAGAGACAGTTACTAAACATTTCACGGCTCTTTGTTTGGAAACTATACCTCAACTAACAATATACTAAAATTTAAAACTAAATATGTAAATAAATGCATTAAATTTTTCACAGCTCATGAAGGTGCTTTTAGTACTGACTATCCCAGGCTGATTAAGAGTTGATTATTTCTAAATGGCACTTCATGTAGACATAGAAGAGTTAATTCTGCCAACTGAATTCATCAATCAGTCAATTCAGTGAGAAAATGTGGTCCAATCAGTCCCAGAGTATATATATGTGATAACCTATTGATGGGTTGAACTTTTCCTGAGCCCAGCACATAAAGCTCCCGGAAAAACAGCCACAGTCAGAGACAATCAAAGGTTACTTTGGTCCCAGTAAAGATCAGACAAAAGTCTCTGGAAAATCTGTTGCAAGAGGCACCTTCAAGCTAACATGTAAGACCAGGTTTTGGGATGGAAATGACTGTATTGACCAAATGAATGAACTCTGTAAGGAGTGTTTTCATTTTAATCTTCTTTATGCATTTTTAACATCCCTCATTTTTAAATTCATATGCTGCTCTCAATCATTCCTAATTGCTTCGTGTGTGCATGTTTCACTAGGCAATAAGCATACTAGCTACTATTTTTATCTGCACTGCACCAGTTCCCCCATCTTCTCCTAACAGATGTACCCACCTCATCACAGAGACAGACAGGTAGCCAGGCTTGGCTAATTACAGTACCTCATCCCTTTGGTTATGGTCATTGGTCCAAGGAGTCAGCACCTAACCCAATCCTTTCCTGAAGGTTTTCATACTGGATCCAAGAGGGGAAGTCTCTTTTTCTTCTCTAGTCGTGTGTTGTTAATTCAAAAGTCTTCAATTGCCACATGGAATAAAGTGGTGTGATCATTTTAAAATATGCCCACAAGTTCTTTGACATTCTTCCATCAAAAAAATGGTCTAATTCTTCTCCCCTTGAAGATGGGACAACTTTGATGACTTGTTTCAAATGAATCCATGTGGTGGAAGTAACAACATAATTTCTTAAGATAGATTCATAAAAGATGATAGAGCTTCCTCCAGCATACTGTGTATGTGCATATGTGTGAAAGAGACTCCTCCATCTCCTTCTGTCTCTCTCTCTCTCTCTCTCCCTATATCTTTCTCTCTCTCTCAATCCCTATCTCTCTCTTTCTGTCTCTCTTCTCTGCCTGTCTCTCCTTGTCTCTTTCTCTATCTCTTTCTCTCTCTCTCCTCTCTCTCTGTTTCTCTCTCTTCTCTCTTTCTGTCTCTCTCCCCCATCTCCATCTCTCTGTCTCTTTCTCTCTGTCTCTGTTTCATACATATCTGTGAGTAGAATTGCTGAATCATATGGTGATTCTATGTTTCTCTTTTTGAAGAACCACCAAACTTTTATCCATAATCATTGCACAGTTTGGAGTTAAACTTTGTTTAAGGTGTGAGACAAGAGTCCAACTTTATTCTTTGGATGTGAAAATCCAGTTGCCCCAGCACCATCAGTTGAAAGAACTATTTTCTCCCATTGAATGGACATGGCACCCCTTGTCAAAAATCAACTGGACACAGATATATGGGTGTATTTCTGGGCTATTTTCCATTTTTCAGTGTAAACTCTATTTACATGTTTCAAGGTAAAATCTATTTTACATGTTTTAATGTAAAAGTCTTTCACTTCTTTGGTTATATTTATTTCCAAGTATTTTATTATTTTAAATGCTATTATAAATAGAATTATTTCTTATTTTCCATTTGGGATTGCTCATTCCAGGTAGATAAAAACATGACTGACTTTCACACCTAAAACTTTATAGAATTTGTTCATTAGCTCTAGCAGCTTTCTTGTGGATTCTTTAAGATTTTCTACATATAGGATAATGTCAATCGCAAATAGAGATAATTTTACTTGTTCCCTTCCATTATGATGCCTTTTATCTATTTTGCTCTGACTATAACTTGCAGTGCAATGTTGAATAACAACAGTGAAAGCAGATATATATATATCTCCTATATATATATATATCTCCTATATATATCTCTCCTATATATATATCTCCTATATATATATATCTCCTATATATATATCTCCTATATATATATCTCCTATATATATATCTCCTATATATATGTATATATCTCCTATATATATATATATATATATCTCCTATATATATATATATATATCTGCTTCATGATGTCCTAGAGGTCCCTTCAGTTCTCTTTACTTCTCTTCGTTACTTTTGCGTTCTGCTCTTTAAACTCAATAATTTCCATTGTAGTATCTTCAAGTCCACTGATTCTTTCTTCTGCCTGCTCAAATCTTCTGTCTAACCCTCTAGTAAATTCTTCATTTCAGCTTTCAGTTTCCAGCTTCAGAATTTCTGTTTGATCAATTTTTATAATTTCTATCACTTTATTTCTCATTTTGTTCATACACTGTTTTTCTGGTTTCCATTAGTTCTTTGTCCATGTTTTCTTTTAGTTCTTCGGACATCATTAAGACAATCATTTTAAAGTATTTGTCTAATAAATTTGATGGCTGGGCTTTCTCAGGGATAGTTTCTGTCCACTTATTTTGCCTCTTTGAATGGGCCATGTGTTCTCGTTTCCTTTGTATGCCTTGTGATATTTTGTTGAACATTGGGCACTTAAATATTATAATGTAAACTCTGGCTATCGGACTCTCACCCTTCCCCAGGGTTTGCTGTTTTTTATTTTTGATGGCTATAATAGTCCATTTGTAGATACTTTTCCAAACTTCCTTTCCCAGTCTTTGCAGATTGGCTCTGTGCTGGGGAACTCCTACAATACTTACCCAACCTTACACTTAACTCAAGGATCAGCCTGAAATGAAAGCTTAGGGTCTTCTCTCCTCTTTTCTGAGCATGCATCTTGCCCCAAGTATATGCATGGATTTCTACATTTTCCTGTATACATGGTGCTTTTGAATGTCCTAATTTCCCACAGAATCTCTTCCAGCTTTTGCACCTGGACTTTAGATGGTCTATTGTACACCTCAACCAGTAATCTTTTGCCCCAGGTTTTTGCAGTTTGTTAGCTCACTTTGAGCATTTGCAAGCAATGCCTGCCATTTTTCCAGCCTATGTTCTAAGTTAGGCTAAGCAGAGATACATGCCTATGTCAGTACTTAACGTAGCCCCCAGACAGGTTAGAACAGACATCCACAATAAGTAAGGTCTTCTCTAGTCCCTCTGTAATCAGGGACCAGGGTCCTACACTGGGAATGAAGGCTGTCATCATCAAGAGAACTGTCTTGCTAGAGAGAAGGCTGGGACAAGAGCAAATAAAAATGCTACAAAGTTTCCCACCATTTTCAAGTGGCCTTTTTCTTTATTCAGTGTTTGCTTGGTTGCTTAAACTTTTGCCTATTTTCCAGAGTTCTGATCATGTTTGTTCTAATGGTTTCTGTTTGTTTTTTGATGTTTCTGTGGGGAAACAAAGTTGGAGCTGCAAACTCTACCATTTTGCTAACGTAACTCTTTGACACTGCTTTAAGTTTTTTGGTGGTTATGCCGTATATAAATTGGATGTGGCTGCTATAACTAATTACCACAAACTTACAGGCTTAAAACAACATAAATTTATTCTCTCATAGTTTTAGAAGCCAGAAGTCTGAAATCAGTTTTACTGAGCTAAAATCAAGGTATTGACAGACTGTATTCCCTCCCAACATTCTTGGGGAAAATCCTGTCCTTGTCTCTTCCAGCTTCCAGTGGCTGCTGGAATTCCTTAGCTTGGAGCTACCACTCCAATCCCTGCCTCTGTGGTCACATCACCACCTCCTCTTCAATTGGTCCAATCTCCCACTGCGTCTCTCAGACATGATCTGATGTCATATAGGACCCACCTCAGATAATCTGGGATGATGCCCTCATCAAGGTCTCTAATTCAATCACATCTGCAGGGCCCCTTTTCCAAATATGGTAACATTTACAGGTTCCAAGGAGTAGGATGTGGGTATCTTTGGGGAGGGATGGGTATCATTCAGCCTACCACATGCAGCAATAAATAACTAAAACAAGAGGTTTGAAAGAATAAGCCACAATACAGAGAAAAAAGTGAAGAACATGTTAGTTCTGATCACTCTTGCCACCTCTGGTCACACCAGATCATAAGTCCTCTTTTCAGCTGGTACTAGGTTAATTTGTGTCTCTGCCTATTGAAATATGTCCTCATGGCCGGGTGTGGTGGCTCACGCCTGTAATCTCAGCACTTTGGGAAGCCAAGGTCGGTGGATCACGAGGTCAGGAGATTGAGACTGTCCTGGCTAACACGGTGAAACCCCGTCTCTATTAAAAATACCAAAAAAAAAAAAAATTAGCCAGGCATGGCAGCATGCACCTGTAGTCCCAGCTACTTGGGAGGCTGAGGCAGGAGAGTGGCATGAACCCGGGAGGCGGAGCTTGCAGTGAGCCAAGATCACGCCACCGCACTCCACCTGGGCAACAGAGCAAGACTCTGTCTCAAAAAAAAAAAAAAAAAAAAAGAAATATGTCCTCATACAAAAATAAACATCAATTCTAAAAAAAAAATCAATTCTAATGGTAGCTGAAGTTTCACATATTTGTACTATTTATGTTTTATTCCAACTAGGCTGTATACTCCTTGGTGGTGGGCTATTTTTTTATGCATAGTTTGTCCACCATGGCATGGTAAATCTGGCAGATATTCAGTAGATAGTTGTTTGTGTGAAGGGATACCATGATATACTGGCCTAAGAGCCAGGCTCTGCAATAAAACAAAATGTGAAAAACAGCTAAGTTCACTTGTGGGAAGAATCAACTTACTTGTGTCAAAAAGTCTGCTTTAAAAAAAAAAAAGTTTCAATCAAATGTCTACATATGACCACAATGACCACAGATAGTCAAACTAAATTATTCAAATTTTGTGGAAATACCTGAATGTGTTTAGTATTTAGCTCTGTCCTGAGCCCTTTAGGCTTCCTGTTTTGGGCTAAATTATATCCCCCTGCAATATTCATATGTTGGAGTTCTAACCCCCAGGACCTCAGAATTTAATTGTATTTGGAGACTGGACCTTTAAAGAGGTCCATTCAGTTTCAATGAGGTCACAAGGATGCATCCTATTCCAATATGACTGGTGTCCTTATAAAAAGAGATTAAGGCACCAATGCATACAGAGGGAAGACTGTGTGAAGACACAAGGAGAAAATAGCTGTCTACAAGCCAAAGAGACAGGCCTCAGAAGAGACCAACCCTACTGACAACTTGACATAGAATTCCAATCTCCAGAGCAGTGAGACAATAAGTTTCTATTGTTTAAGCCACACAGTCAGTAGTACTTTGCCATGGCAGTCCAAGCAGACTAAGACATCCTTCCTGTTAAGGATAAATCAACCATTTGCACCAAATGCATAGTTTGGACCTAAAATTGTTGTAATGGGAAGGTACATGTCAATTTGGGGGTTTGCATCTCATCATTAGCACATCCTTTTCATTTCTATTGAGTTGTTTGTTTGTTTGTTTGTTTTTGTTTTTGAGACAGGGTCTTGCTCTGTACCCAGGCAGGAGTGCAGTGCAGTGGCACAATCATAGCTCACTGCAGCCTCGGCCTCCCAAGCTAAAACAGTGTTCCCACCTCCACCTTCCGAGTAGCTGGGAACACAAGTGCATGACATTGTGCTTGGCTAATTGTTTTTGTCATTTTTTTGTAGAGATGGGACCTCACAGTGTTGCCGAGGCTGGTCTCAAACTCCTGGGCTCAAGCAATTCTCCTGCCTTAGCCTTTCAAAGTGCTAGGATTACAGGTGTGAGGCTCCAGATGATCGAAGTCACTGCCTCATCCTGTCTGACCACCTTCTATGGAGCAGCTGAGGTCTTAGGGCCAAGACCTACCTGGAATCCCAGGCAGCCTCCTAGCCACTCTAAGAGGGCAGAAGAAGCAGAAAACCTATGAGAGCAGCTTCAAAATCAGTCTTCTAAGCGCAAGAGAGACTTCCTGAACCACATTCTGCTTCATCAACCGGACTCTACAACATGAACAGCTTGTGTCTCTTACAGATTCTCATAGGCAGATGCATAAAACGTGAATAAGATGTGTCCACTGTTGGCACAACTTCCTGCTACAGCTCAGCTAGTAGGAAATCATGTACAAGTTTCAACTAAGAACCATTTAGGGAGAGGACATAGAGGAGAGAAAAAAAATTCTTTTGGCTTGGCTTGGTGTTTTGTATTCAGCATCACACCTAACCTTGAAGCTGTCAGAGTTTATCATGAATAATGCACCATGACAACATTCCACGTGATCCTTATAGGACAGACTGATGTCCTCATAGGCAGGGAAGGCAAAGCAGCATGGTCCCATTCCCAGAGAGAAACACACCACGACATGGCAGTTAGGAAGGAATGTTCATGCCACTGTGCTTCTACCTCCAGAGCTGCAGGGGTTCCAAGAAATCCTACCAAGACCTAAGAAAGAGCCAAGCGTGTACCCAGATGCAAAGCCAAGGAGAAAAGGCATCACCGTGAAATCACATTTTATGCTGTGAATGAGAGGGAAGTACATCAGGTGCCAATAAGCTTTCGCATCTGTGCACAAAGCTAAAATCTCAAGTAGGTGGCACTTGACTCACTGCATGCACCCTTAGAACCCATGAAAAATGCCAACACTTAGACCTGCAAACACAAATGGGCAATGCTCAAAGTCACTATTGGCTATGATCTCTACCTTTAACTTACAGAATTGTAAATTCTCCTGTAAACAGGAAGAGAAGCTAAGACAATGCAACCAAACTAAATAAATGACATTTTGTTCATATTCTCTTCCTATGGTATTTTTGTCTTAATGTATAGCCCATCTCCCAATTTTTAAGTTTTTACTTAAAGTAAGAGGAAGCAGATATACAAGCTTATGCTCTTCTGAGAACAATGCTGAAGATTAACACAAGAGCTAATTTCCTAATTAGCATTTGTTTTTTAGATAAAAATAGACTAATTTTTTAGATAAAATTGTGGAAAATTTTCCTGCTACCTCCAAGTGTAGAGCGCTCATCTGTTCCTTTCCTCACTGTCATGTAAATAAGAGCTTCCAGAAGTCAGAAACTTCCTAGCTAAGTTTTGTCCTCAACTGTCTACAAAGCTCAGTCTTCCACAGTGGGACACAAAATGCTCTAGACCCAGTAGGGATGGGAGACAAATTGACAGAGTGGCCAGAGCACACAGCTGGTCCTCCCTCTCAGCAGATTCCGTGACCTCAATTGAAAACCAATGATAGTGACAATTCTTCCCACAGTAATCACGTGATGTAATCAGGCAACGAATGAGAATGTGCCCACCATGGAACAGACCTGCAAAGGGGGTCGTATGCAGCCACCCAGAGAGCAGAGATCTCAAGAAATTTTATTTTTCACAAATGCCGATGTCCAAACATCTCTTCATCTATTGAGGAAATCCCAACATTGTTATGTATACGCACAGTGCTTACACACAAAGTCAACGTTGTTATAATGCACTTTCATGCAGTCAAATTTCTGATGTCCATGGAGTCAGGAAAAAGTCTGTCTCATTTCTCAGAGAGAGACCAGTTTGCCTTCTACATTTGTTTTCTCTGGGCCCTTGACAATTGGATGGTGCCTGCCAACATTAAACACAGATCTTCCCTACCTAGTACACGCAGACTCATACTAATCTCCGCGGAAATACCCTCAAAGAAACACCCAAAATAATGCTTTACCAGGTTTCAAGGTATTCCTTAATCCAATCAAGTTGACACTTAAAATTAAGTCCACAAGTCCACCCCTTGTCAGCTGGGCACCTATATGCATCTTCTTAAACCATACCTAATTTCCAAATAAAGACAATAAAAAGGTAATAGTTCCACCTACCATGATGCAACTAACATGACACAACTGAAAACTCACTAAATCCTTTCCCCACATTTGGTTTTCAGAATTCCAGCATGTGGGATTTTAATCTTTCAGGACTGTGATTTTTCAGGATTGCAGATGTTAGGGATTTTAGACTTTAGGGATTTAGACTTTAGGAATTTGGGGTTTTAGGGATTTAATTTTGGGAGATTTCAACATTCAGGATGATGGCATTCAGGATTGTGTCTTTTGATGTTATGATTGGCACCAGAGCAGCAGCTATCTAATAAAACAAACATATCATAAAAAGAGGAAACATAAAATGCATTTCTTTTACTTGGTTGCACTATCTTAGCTTCTTTTCTTGTTTGCAGGAGAATTTACAATTCTGTAAATTAAGGGCAGAGATCATAGCCAATGGTGACTTTGAGCATTTCCCATTTGTGTTTGCAGGTCTAAGTGTTGGCATTTTTCATAGGTGCTAAGGATGTAGTGAGTCTCATGACACATACTTGAGATTTGTGCTGTTGATTTGGGTTTTAATCAGCAGATTTTGTTAGTATACCAGGACAAGGTGATATAGCAAGCAGATCTCACAGCAAAGGAAGGGAAAGCTCTATAGAGCACAGACAAGAACACTCCAAAGTCCTGGTGTGCAGGCAGGGAGAGAAGTGCCTTGTTCAAGGGAGCTGCAGGTGGAAATTGCACTGGTGGTCATGTTTGCTTTTTTTCTGTGCAGACATTATAAAGTGACAGTTTTGCTGGACCTGTCTCTCTGAGCAGATTTCAATTGCAGTCCACTTTTTAAGTCAGAAAGCAAAATGATACAGGCTGCCAAGAAAAGCATTTATGTTCCATGGGCCCCCAGATGGCATCCACATCCCATTGATTCTGGCAGTCCTGAGGATATAAGAATGGCCGATTCTATTCAATCTTGTTTTCTTCTTTCTAGACTGGAATGAAACGCAGGGAAAAGGAAATCTCTGGGGTTGTGCTGTGTTCAGTCACATCAACGCTTATGTGGCAGGGATTCTGGTTCTAACTGCCAGGCTCCTGGAAGCCACTGAGACACCAAACCCTATGGGAGGTGTAAGGCAGGTTCCCTGTGAAGGAAAGGGGTATCTGGTTGGGTAATTTGCACACCATCAGTGACGAGAAACTGAGGATAGAGAAATCTTGCTCAAGACATAATTCAGACAAAGGGACATTATGGTAATTTAGACAAAAGACTCACCCTAGAGTGTTTTTATGCTTGGCCTCTGCCACCATCATTTTTCTTTCAATGTCTGTCATTGTATATAAATGTTTATTATACTAGAGTTCTGTCATAATGGATATGAGTTGAGACAAAGGATAGAGAAAGTAATATGATGCTGGCTACTTTTACTCCAAAAAGGAAATTCTAAACAAGCAGAGTGAAGCCAGCTGCTCTATATGTCACATTGATATAAGTCACTGAAATGCTGAGTTCCCAAAATTGTGTTCCTTCCTTTTCACAATCTCTCCTTGCTCACATCGGAAGTGGAAGTGAGCATGGTCACTGGTGGACATGGGACACGAGCAGCCAGGGGGATATTATGGAGCACAAACAGGTGCAGGAACAACTAGAACAGTAACCACATAGAAACTTGTTGCCCACGCCCACCTTTTCTCTGCCCCACCCATGTCAGAGCTGGAATCCTTATCTCCAGTACTGACCACAGTTCCTCTCTCTGCAGGACTCTGAGGTCTCAAACTTGCCCCTCACCTGACCATAAGCACGGGATAGGCATTAATGCAATGAATCTAATGAATCCTCTTGGAGAAGGACGCTATGTAAATGCTATTAATGAAAGCCTTATTCTTTTTCTCCCAAGCCCTCCCACCTTATGCAAGAATATAAGGAAATATTAACTTTACTTCCCTAGTGATGGAGAGATGTAATTAGAGCCTGAGAAGGTTTTCCCACAAGGCATTAGTGGGGAAATTTGCCAGCACTTTGATGAGATAAAACATGGAACTCTCTACTCTGTGCCAACTGCTTCTTTCTTTGGAACACAAAGTCATTTTTATGAGTGAAACTAGAAAGAAAGAAAGAGCAAAAGAAAAAAGCAGCAAAAACCAAGGGAGATAAGGTCACCCTCTCATTTCTTCTGGCAAACCTCTCAGATTCCGGCAGACCCCTTCCCCTGAGACAGAACAGGGCTGCACAGCTGCTCCTAACAGAGAAAAAGGAGCAAATTCAAGTAAAAACTATGAAAAAAAACTCAACAATTCTTAAAATGTTTAATAGTTACCCTCAATAAACTATATGAGAGAAGAAATTGTATTCAAATCTTATTTGAACAAATCTCATAACAAATTCACTACCTTTATGTCTTCCAAACTTTCCTAATGACTTAGTGATCAATTTAAAATAATTTACCAATCACTGACAAGTCCAAGTACTGAGCCCTTTTGTGATCCATTTCAAACCATAGTCAGCCGCAAGTCTCCTTTCAAGCCTAACTTTGGGATGGTGGCTCATGGTAACAGTGCCCTTTCTCCCTCTTCTCTTTGCCGGAATCCCCCGTCTGTTGCATCAAACCCATCCTTCAGGACCCATCTAAACTGCCTCCTCCTCCACTACTTTGATTCTTCACCCACCCCAAGATCTCTGGCAGAAGTCATTTGTCCCTTTTTGGGACTGTCTTTGTCTGCCTTTATTTTTTTTTTTTTAATGATTTTTTTTTTTTTTTTTTTTTTTTTGAGATGGAGTCTCGCTCCCACTGTTGCCCGGGCTGGAGTGCAATGGTGCAATCTCTGCTCACTGCAACCTCCGCCTCCCGGGTTCAAGCGATTCTCCTGCCTCAGCCTCCCGAGTAGCTGGGATTACAGGTGCCTGTTACCATGCCCGGCTAATTTTTTGTATTTTTAGTAGAGACGGGGTTTCACTATGTTGGCCAGGCTGGTCTCAAACTCCTGACCTCATGATCCACCCGCCTTGGTCTGTCTGTATTTTAAGGGACATATTATGTATAGCTTTATTATTCTTACTGTGTATTATCCAGTTTCCCCTCCTGGACTGCATACTCCTTGAGATGCAGATCTTGAGGACGGCATTCAGCATGCCTTAAACACGGCGTTGTTGTGATTTCTTATATGCCATTATTACTCTAAGTGTGGCTCACAGGCTCGCAGTATGCGCATCATTTGGGAGATCATTAGAAATGGAGTCTCCCACCCCACCCCAGTCCTACTTAATCAGAATCTGCTTTTTTTTTTTTTTTTTTTTTTTTTTGAGACGGAGTCTCGCTCTGTCGCCCAGGCTGGAGTGCAGTGGCGCCATCTCGGCTCACTGCAAGCTCCGCCCCCTGGGTTCACGCCATTCTCCTGCCTCAGCCTCCCGAGTAGCTGGGACTACAGGCGCCTGCCACCACGCCCGGCTAATTTTGTTTTTGTATTTTTAGTAGAGATGGGGTTTCACTGCGTTAGCCAGGATGGTATCGATCTCCTGACCTCGTGATCCACCCGCCTCGGACTCCCAAAGTGCTGGGATTATAGGCATGAGCCACCGCGCCCAGCCCAGAATCTGCATTTTAATCCATTACCAACCCAGGTTATTCACAGTACATTAAAGTCTGAGAAGTGCTGTTGTATACGATGGATACTTAATAGATATTTTTCACATAAGCCAATTTCTATGCAAAGATCTTTCCCTTCACCCACTCCCACCCCCCATCCTGGGCACTGCAGATGAGCTGAGAACTAAGCCCACCTTCAGGTGGCAAGAGTGCTTTCCCCTCATTCACTCTAGCTTGCCATCCATAGCCTCCATGCATTCAGAGGGCAAGTCATTTATTAATTAATTCCCTCACACCACATTTACTGAGGGCCTGCCTCCTATATGCCAGGCATTGTGCATATTCCACAAGAACATTTACCTCTCAACACACTGAATCGGGTCTGTGGGATTGGGAAGAAGACAAGGGGAGTGGCATGTAAATCGTGTGTCCTGTGCCTACCAGGATGCTTGTCTGCTGCACAGATTTCTGGTGGATCAGGAAGGACACAACCCATAGACTCAACCCCTCTTCCAGGGCTTGGCTGGCTGCTGCCCCCCAGGCCTAGTGCTCACTAGCATAAACTCTGCACCAGTGTTTTCTCAAGCCTCAGGACACACCCCAGTCACCAGGAAGGCTTGGGAAAACACAGAATGCTGAGCCCACCCTGAAACTTCTGATGTAGTAAGTAGTGAGGTACCAACAGGAACAGAAAAAGGCAGAAACACTAAAGAAGATGCCTGTATTCTTTGAGCTTCCCTGATGAGGTGTATCCTCTCAAACCCCATTCCCTTAGGTGTTGCGGAATGTTTGGAGAAAAGATTAAAGAAGTGAGGTCTCCATTTAATGAAGCCATTGAGAGAACCAAGTCTAGAAAGTTCACCAGGTCCTAAGCAGGAGCAGGGGACAAACTAGGGCCTGATTGGCCTACTTTTTCACTGCATTGTAAGCTTTATGTGTTACAGTGTCATTAAAGGTAGAGAGTCCAGGACTCAATTCATGGTAATAAAAATAAATCTGTGCAATAGTGGGCAGCTTCAAAACTAGCTGTAATTATCTCTCATAGATGAAATCCAGCAGGTGAGCCCTGGCCCAGGAATAGCTCATTTTCTCCCTGCCTACAGCTGTGCCCGGGCTGAAGCCACTGACGCTGGGCTTGAGGGGTGCCTTCCCCTGCCTCCGACTTGCCTCCTCTCTCAGGCAACTCATCCTCCACCCAGTGTTATTATGAAATCAAGTGGCCTGTAGAAGGAGGACTGGGAGAATGTCAAGAGTCCCTCCTCTGTCTCCAGTCCTTTCTCCCTTCCTCCCATGCCCCGTGACTTTCTAAACCCAACTGCAATGGATAGGTAATGAGAACATGCAACAGCATTTCCTAGAACAGGATTTTCTACCTCCTTTTGGAAATCACTTATCTTATTCCCATAGTGCCCTAATTCCAACAGTCTATGACACATACAATGAGAATGTCACATGGGCTAAATGCTGAAGACCCATGCCTTAAAGCTAACCAGCTTCCAGAAGAATCCTTAAACCTACATTCCATTTCCATACCAATCCTGGGTGTCCTAACTTGCTCAATAGCAGGAGTATCTATCAAGTTAGTAGGTGCCTAGGGGAATCTACATGTCATTTTCAGCCCTTTCTCTTTCCCACACCCAGCAGAAATGGGTGTGAGATCTTGCAATGAGCATCTAAAGTTTTCAGGATTGTTCCCAGGACAACCATACCTGAAAGCTTTCCTTTGACTCAGTCTACCCTGTGCCCATTCAACCCCCATGTCAGCCCTCATCTGCTTGCAGCCCAACTTCTATTTTGGTGCCTCATTTTAATTGGTTTTTTTGTTTTTTTGTTTGTTTGTTTTCCTGGCCTCAGATCAGTCCCTCTATCTCTGGTCTAATGTTGTAACTTCTTTTTCTCTTGGGTATTTTAGGCCATGTATGTGGAAATTTGATGCATGTGACCCCCTTTGGCACAGTCTGACATTTCTCAAATTCACCTCATTTCCTATCTCTGGTTCTGGAAATTATGAAGTCAGAGAGCCCCATGAAGGCTTAAGTTTACTGGCATCACAAGGGCAGATACCATGTCTGTCTTACTTTCCTATTGTCTCCCATATTCCCTAGCATATCATAGGTGTCAGACGAATATTTTTTATGAACAAGTGGATTATAGATACATCACACCATGGGCAGACAGGTGGCAAGCTAATATAATTTTTATTGTGTGAGTATGCTAAGTGTTTCTGGACAATTGATAAGGTTATATTTATAACCCAAAGGATTAATGTTCATGAAGTACTTTGAAATCTACAAAACAATAATGCTGTAAAAGAGTCAACTATTCCCTGGTAGAGATGATCAGAGGAACAGATTGTACAATTCTTTTGGGATTCAAAAGGTAGATATGAGTAAAGATGGAAAGAAAATTGGGACATGATGACAAAACAATCAATAAACAAATTAAAACTCACCTTTATCATAATCATCATTCTCAACTGCATCTTCCTGAAGTTTCTGAAGTTTTAATCTTAAGGATATTACCTATGTTGGTTTAAAGGGGAAAAAATAAAAAATTACAATAGAATTCAAGCAAACATTTTTGTGAAAACTAAGAACATTTAGAAACTGTTTCAAAACTGAACTTCTTCATTCTCTTTTTAAAAAAAAAACAAAAATGCACATTTTTTCAATGCCAGATGCATTAGTTTCTCCAAAAAAAATCTATGTAAAGAAAAAGTGTAATTTGAGCATAACATCCACATAAAAAGTTAAAATGTTATTTTATTTTAAACAAAAACATCACACTGTGCCCTCATCTGCATGAAGAAATGCATAATGAGAAGGAATACAAATTTCCTGACCAAATGGTCTCTGTTCTAAACCTCACATTTAAATTATGAAGGTAAACACACCAAAATTGGCAGAGAAACCAAGAGAAAAAGAGCATGAACTTAAGCTCAGCAGGCTGTCCTGAAGGCTTGAGTAAGAATGATGGCAAAGCTCTCACAAAACCCTTCTGAGAAGCCCTAAGGTTCAAATATTTTCCATTACAGAAAAGGGCAGTCTTATTTAACCCACATGGAGACTCAGTGATCCAGTTACTTCTCTGAGTGTTACCAATGGGTTGATTTAGCATCATTGATATGGTTTGGCTGTGTCCCCACCCAAATCTCATCTTGAATTGTAGCTCCCATAATTCCCGCATGTCGTGGGAGGTAATTGAATCATGGGGGTGGGTCTTTCCCATGCTGTTCTCATGATAATGAATATGTCTCATGAGATCTGATGGTTTTATAAAAGGGAGTTCCCCTGCACAAGCGCCCTCTTGCCTGCCACTGTGTAAGATGTGCCTTTCTCCTCCTTTGCCTTCCACCATGATTGTGAGGCTTCCCCAGCCATGTAGAACTGTGAGTCCGTTAAACCTCTTTTTCTTTATAAATTACCCAGACTTGGGTACGTCTTTATTAGCAGCATGAGAACTGACTAATACAATCATTGTTCTTCTCAACAGGAGACCCAAAGATTTACTGACAATGAATTCTTGGCCTACCAATGAATGGATTTGGGCTTGATCCCTGAAAAACATCTTCCTCCCATTCTTTGCCTGGCTCACACCTACATTTCCTTCAACCCCTAGCACAAGTGTCGTCTCCTCCAGTCTGTGTTAAATGTCCCTCCTCTATACCTCCATTGTGACCTGTACTTGCTTCTTCTATTCATAGACCCATTCAACAAATATTTACTGAGTGCCTCTTAGTTATCAGGCCCTGTTTGTATTGTGTTGATGTAACAAGGATACATCATAAAATGCTTAGCCCTCCAGACTTACATTCTAGGCAAAAACATAATACAGTCGGCCCTTGAACAACGGGGATTATGGGAACCAACCCCGGCCCTATACAGTTGAAAATCTGTGTATAACTTTTGACTTCCCCAAAACTTAACTACTAATAGTCTACTGTTGACCAGAGACCTTACCAAAAACATAAACAGTTGATTAACACATATTTTGTTTGTTATATGTATTATATATGCATTCTTACAATAAAAGTAAAGTGGAAAAAAGAAAATGTTATTTAAAAATCATTGAGAAAAAAATTCAGCATTGACTAGATGACGAAAAACATCATAAAAAACAGAAAATAAATTTCCTATTCATTAAGTGAAAGTGGATCATCTTCATCTTGAGTAGGCTGAGGAGGAGGAGGAAGAGAGGTTGTTCTTGCTGTCTCAGAGGTGGCAGAGGTGGAAGAGAATCTGCATATAAGTGACCCTTGCAGCTCAAACCCGTGTTGTTCAAGGGTCAACTGTAAGTTTTATGGCACCTTAGCAAGTGATTAATGCTATGAAAAAGGAAAAGGGAGAACCACGTTATGGGGATCAGGGATGCTGGTAGAGGGTAGAGGTTGCAATTTGAAATCTGATCTCCTTGAGATGGTGACATTTACACAAAGATTTAAAAGTGGTAAGGGAGTGAACCACGAGGCTGTCTGGGAGAAAAATATTCCCACAGAGGGAAGAGCCAGTACAAAGGCTCAGGCAGAAGTGTTTCTGGTAAGAAAGCAAGAAGTGAAAGTGAAATGAAAAGCAAGAGGGAGCAAGAATGCCACTGGATCTGGGGCAGATTGATGTAAGGGAAAACTGTAGAGAATGAGGTCACACAGGTAATGAGGACTGTGTCAAGAAGAGACATGAAGACCATTTAAAAGTTCTGATTTTACTCTGAAGTTCATGGGGCGCCACTGGAGAGTTTGGGGCAGAGGAGCACATGATCTGACTTATGTTTTAAACAGTTTCACTCTGGCTGCTGTTAGTAAGAGCAGAAGAAGGGAGGCCAGGTAAGAGGCTATGGGAACATTCAGGAAGGAGATGACAGGAGCTTGGATGATAGTGAGGATGGTGGCAATGGTGAAGATGGTGAGATGTGATCTGATTCCGGTTATATTCAGAAGACCGCTGGTTAAATATAGAGCCAACAGGATTTGCTAATACATCACAGGTGGGGTCTGAGGAAAATGCACCAGGATGATGCCAAGGTTTGTTTTGTTTTTTGTTTTTTGGGTTTTTTTTTCTGACCCACTGGAAGAATGGAGTACTTATTGCACCAGGTTATAGCCATCATTTTCCTTTGTTTGGTTTTATCTGTGCACATCATTCAACCTTGAGCATCTGGGGGGCAAGAACTATTTTGCATCCATGTATAGGATGCTAGTACTTACACTGACTTGATTTTCCACTGCTTTGGGCACATGGAAAGAGTACAAGTGCCTCTCTCCTTGTTCTGCTGAACAGGGTATGAGTGGCAGTGATGGGGTTACCTCTACGCTGAAGCATTTGATCGCTCTTGTAGGACTCCCTAACATTCTCTTCCTCAAGTCTGTGACTAAGGGGATCATATGTTCAGATGGTGCAGGCTGGGTTCTTGCCCCCCAAAAATCTCTGTGGAACATGAAGCATACGCAAAAAACACAATTTTGTTGTGTTGAGCCTCTAACGTAGTGCCTGTTACTAGCCTGTCCTAATACAATCTCCAAAGCCTAGGATAAGGCATTGTACTCGTTGTCATTGATAAATGCTTTCTGAATGAATGAAAGAATGAATGAATAATCATATTAACCCCTTTGTCTTTGAATTGTTCTATATTACAACTGCAAAGTTTACCAGTAACTTAGTCCTATATATTAGGGACAGAAGAAAGGCTGTGTGAATGGTTTGAGGGCCACATAAAGCTATAGCATTACCATCGCCACACCCAAATGATGGTATCATTAAACATTTATTAGAACAGAAGCTGAAGAAATGCAGGAAACAAGGTCAGGAAAAAAATTCATTTACAGCCAAAGCCCACCCCACGATGCCCACCTCGTCCAGTGATCTCTATAAGGCCCTGAATGGACTGCCCTGAGATATGTCTGAATACCCGTCTTTGCTGGAGGCACAGCCCCAGTGGCCATGTCTTGCACTGTGCCACAACCCTGCCTGTGGAACGTCCTATAATACTCTACAGGCAGAGTCCTTCATTTTTCACCAGTTTCCATGGCCTTAGGTGGAGCCTACCTTGCAGGGCCCACTCCACTTCCCCTCCTCTGCATGCCTGGTCACCAACTACCTTTATTACCATCTTCTCAGTCCCATGCAACCCCTGGAAATCTCGCTAAGCAGCGATTTCTAAACAGCATAAAATATTCACAGTCGATTCTCCTTATTCACAGTACTGTAGTTATGTTCTATAAAGTTTCTGTGAATACTGAATTAGGGAATAATGAAGCATTGCTCCTAAGAGAAATACAGGGTAGGTTCCTGTGAACCCCTGGTCACAACACCTTCCTCCATCGGTCAACACATGACCTTGTTCTATGTGTGTTTCTGTTTAAAAACATCTTATTTAATATGTATTATTGATCCATAAGCATTGTACTCTGGCCAACAGCACTCTAACTCATGCCTGAATAAAGTTTCTGGAGCACCTGTATCTTCTCCATCAGGCCCATCACAGCCTTCTCATGCTTAGGAGCACTAGATGACATTAGCACTATGCTTAGGGAGCTTTTGCAATGGTTAACTCACCAATAAAGAGCACAAAAATGTAAAAAAAGATGGCATTAAATAGACCACAAAAAGGATACTAGTTTGTAGTATGAGAGAGAAGGTAGAATGTCATCTGGTCTGAACTTGTTTGACCTAAGTAGAAAGCGTGTACATCAGGTGACCCAAATATTTTGCCACTCTGTGCAGGTTCAAAATTACCACCAGGCATGGTGGCTCATGCCTGTAATCCCAGTACCTTGGAGGCTGAGGCAGGAGGATCATTTGAGGCCAAGAGTTCAAGACCAGTTTGGGCAACGTGGCAAGACCCTCATCTCTACCCAAAAAAAAAAAAAAAAAAAAATTAGCCAGGCATGGTGGCATGCGCCTGTAGTCCCAGCCACTAGGGAGGCTGAGGCAAGAGAATCGCTTGAGCCCAGGAGTTCAAGGTTGCAGTGAGTTATGATCACACCACTGCACCCCAGCCTGGAAGACAGAGACCCCGTCTCTTAAAAAATAAAATAAAAATGAAAAATGACCATAAAAGTGCTGTGAGTACTGATTTTGGAGTTAACAACAAATTTTAGCAAGTAGACGAATTCACACATATAGAATCCACAAACACTGAGGATCAACCATCTTTTAGAAGAAGCTGAAACTTAAATTCCTGAGATTCTCATTTTTACTTAAGTAGAAGCGAGAGGAGGTTAAGGAATTAAAATATAATATCAATAAGGCCCCCAAACACTAGAAATCCTACTCTTTCAAAGGATCTTTTTGGAGATCCTTCACCGACCTTCTGCCCTGTCCCGAAGGCCTCAGCCGCAACCCCAGTGAGCAGTCTGGGGCCTCTGTGTAAGCACCATGGGAAAACAAGTCCCTGACCAGCCCACCTCATCACAGACAATTCCCACTGTCAAGAGGTTCTTCCTCCTATTGAGGCAAACTCTGCCTTCCTGTAAGTCCTATGCCCTGGACTGTGTTATTTCTGTCATTCCCACTACTCTGTTAATTCCGCTGTCACACAACAGATACTCAAGTACAGCCTAGCGTTACTTAATGACAGGGATGCATTCTGAGAAATGCATTATTAGGTGACTTCATCATTGTGTGAACATCGTAGAGTGTGCTTACACAAATCTGGATGGTGTAGCCCATTACACACCTAGGCTAGATGGAATAGTCTATTGCTCCTTGGCTACAAACCTGTGCAGCATGTGACTGTACTGAATACTGCAGACAAGTGTCACACAATGGTAAGGTATTGTTGTATCTAAACATATCTGAACATAGAAAGGGTACAACAAAAACACAGTACGATAATCTCACAGGACCACTGTCACATCATATATGTGATCCGTCATTGGCCAAAATGTCATTATGCAGTACATGAGTGTAATTGAAGAGAGTGTCATGTTTTTCCCTGCCCAGCTGTGGGACTGCCATAGACAACAATACTTACACTAAAGAAAAAGTGTGTCCAGATTCTACCATTTGAGATAAGATAGGAATTTAATTTGAGCTATGGACAGAAGGGAGAGCTTCATTTGCTTTTGACTCAAACTCTCTAAATTGGAGCTATTTCTCTAATGATGACAATGGTTAATTTCTGGGTACTTGCTAGATGCCAGGCCCTGTCTGAAGCACTTTGCACATATGATCACATTTAGTTTAATTAACTGGAGAAGAGAAACACCGCAGGAAGGTAGACCCTCTTGCAAAACCCAGGTGAAAGATAACAAGGATCTGAGCCAGGGCAGCGGCCATGGTGATGAGAGACAGATTAGCAGTAGGACTGAGAGGGCTTGGAGGCCAGCCAGATGTGGAACAAGGGAGAGGGAGGTGTGGAAGATGGTTGTGGTTTCTGGCCTAAGAAACTGGATAGATTCTATGCATTCAAATCAACCAATATTGGAGGCCCTTCAGAACGGGTTTCGGGGAAAGACAAGGGGCACTGGTTTAGGCAATGACTAACTGGAAGACTCCACACATCACCCAGAATACAAGCCTGCATCTGTGCTCTGACCTCACTCCCTCTCTGCATAATAAATCAGAGGGCTGGGCTGAGGTCCCTGAGGGCTGAAACAGGGCAAACAGGGACAGGGCTAGAAACATCAGACTATAGATAAAGAACAGATGGGAGATGCTCTTTCGGGGAATGAGCATGAACTTCTGCAGATTACTCCTCCCAAATGCCTGATGAGTGGGTGCTCCACTTCCCTACCCACATGAACATATCCACACACCACACGCAGAAACACATGAGTGCACACACACAAATACACTCGCACATGCATGCACACACACACATGAACACACAGCACAAACATGCACACACACACACGCACACACAGGCACACCTACATGCACACACATACACACACAAACACATATGCACACACACACCAGGATTAAAATACAGTCTGGCAACAGATGAGCCACAGAGCATCTCTACCTGGGCTTCTCTGGGAACTTTTGTGGGTAGAGGAACCCTACCTACTTCCGGCTATACCCACCTCTCAGATAACTGGATGGACAGCATCATCATAAGGCTGGGCCTTAGATGTCTCCAGTTTGTACTTATTTCCAAAGCAGCTACATTCTCATTTGAGCCTTAGAACAATCCTATGAGTTGGTGTTATCTCTAAATACGGAAACTGAGAGCCAAAGAGGTTCAATGACCAGAAGCGAAGTCTCCCGACCCTGTGGAAGGCAGCAGCCACTGCAGCAGGATGGAAGGGAATGAGTGAAGCGGATGAAGAGCAGGATCGCCCTGATAGAGGGCATCCCCATTTTTGTATCTCTCAAGTCCTTCCAAACATCACCCAGCTCAATCTCCCCTGCCCCCAGTTTCCTGTCTCAAAGCAGAGCTGGGCTGCATGAACCACGTCTCACCTAAGCCGGGGCCTGCAGAGGAGCCTGCGGCCCAATGGAGAGCAAATCTGAGCACCTAAGTGACAGAGAAGACAAAAAGGAGAGTAGATCTGTGTCCAATTCAAAGAGACAGAAGTGCAGCAACATCCTGTGCAGCCGGCTCCAAAAGGAGCTGCTGCAGCTTCCAGGAGGAAGTCAGTTGAGCCCAGAACCCCTCGTTTCCTGCCGTCTGCCCAGTGCTAATCTGAGCTCACGACAATCTCGGGCCACAGAGGTGGAAGAGACACTGACCTCCATCTGCCTCCGGTTTCTCAGCAGGCAGTCCCGCAGCACTGGCTCCCATTTCCTGAGCAGGGTGTCCCAAGAGTGGGCATCCCCTGAGCCGCTGCTCCCATCACCACCACAGCCAGCCAGTGAGGGATCCAGAGAACTGGAGGAGCCAGGGTCCATGTCTGGTAAAGAATGCATGTCACGCTCTGGCCTGGAGCTGTTCCTTGCGGCCTGGGCCAAGTCTGCAGAGACCCGTGTAGCCAAGAGACTGAAGGGCCGAGAGAGACATCGCGGGTCCTCGTGAGGCCCGTCCAAGCTGGCAGCTTTGGCTCCCATCTCCTGGGGGCTCTGGCAATGGGACTCAGCCTCTCTGGATGGTGGGCAGCCTTCTGCTTCTCCACGTTCCCCGGCAGAGCCAAGCGAGAGCCGAATAAAGCTAAAGCTTGAGGTAAAGGCACTGTGAGAGCCAGGAGGGGTTGGGGGGACCTCAGGGCCACAGCCAGGGCTGCAGCTGTTGCTACTCAACTCTGCTGATGGCAGAGAGCCTGCTGCCCGGACACGCCTTGCTCCATCGCTGCAGGCTGCCTCCCAGCTGGCGTCCAGGGTCTCAGAACTATCCATGGCTGCAAACTCTTGCTGCCACCCAGCACTCCCAGGGCCACACGGCCAGCTAAGCCTGTCAGGCAATCTGGTGCCACCTCTGAGCTGAATCCCAAAGTGCGCCGAGGTTCCTCTCACAGAGGTCACAGTAGGGGCTGCTGCACTCTTGGAAACAGGGCTCCGGACCAAGAGGCCTCTCGAGTCAAGGCCACACTGTCTGGCCCTGGACTCCGAGTGGTGGGACTCCTCGCCAGACACCCCTCCTGGGAACCGGAACAGTGTGCCCACTGCTGGGGAAAGGAACCCGATCCCAGGCCCTGTCGAGCTTCTCATGTAGCCCGGCCTCCGTGCCAGCCGCCGCCTCCGAAAGCACGCTGCAGGTGGTAAGCAATCCCGGCTGCCTGGGAAGAAAAGAAAAAACAGCACCATAAACATGCAGATCTTACTGGCCCAGCTGGAACTGCATCTGGAGAACATCCCTAGGTTTAAAGGTCATCTCTCAGTACACCTGTCAAAGATAGATGCTGGCTCAGTGGTCCCAGGGCCAATCCATTATGTAAATCCTGACAATCCTCAGGAAGTATTTGCCTGGAACATGTAGAAATCAACACAGCATCTCAGCTCCTCGGTTTAGCAGAGCAGCTGGCACTGCTGTACGCTATGCCAACAGGTCAGCATGAACACAACCTTGGCAGCTCCTGAACCCTCCAACATCTTGCCTGTTGGTCTTTTATGGCACCTCAGTACTCTCATCCTGGAGTGGGCCTGGAAAGCAAATGACGTGAAAGAGGAATGCCAGAGCATGCCTCTAAATGAGATCCAACTATTTACTCTAGCTATTCGTTGAACATGTGAATGTTCACTAGCGGAGCTATCCATGTCCCTGCAAGACTGATCTGTTGCTGCAGACCATGGATAGCTGGCTGTGCCGCAATGTATGGCCATCATCTCATCTCACTCAGTGGATGACAGGAGGCCTGCTTGATGTGTTCTCCAAACCAGCATTGCATTCCCTTCCCAGCTATGCTATAGGAATAGGAACAATAACAAATGCTGACTCCTCATTGACTGGTTCAAACCCTGATTGTACCACTTGCTGGTTGTGTGACCTTCCACAAGTTACTTAACCTCTCTGTGCCTCAGTTTCCCCATCAGTAAAGTGGTGATATTAACAGTAGCTCTCTCATAAGGTGGTTGTGAGCATTCAACTAAATGAGTTACTATTTGTAGACAGCTTAGAACAGTGCCTGGCACATATGATGATAAGAGTGATTAAAATGTTATTATTTTTAGATTGCATAGCACTTTGCTACTCATAATGTGTTTTAATTTACATTAATTTCATTCACTCCCGACCAAAACCATGTGAATCAATCCGACCCGAAACTATAGCTTTCCTTTTATATTAAAGGCAACTGAGATTCAGAGAACTTGACTTTCCAGAACCCCCTGCAAGTAGCCAAGTGACCAGGACAAAGTCTCTTGACTCTACTGGCCCACACAGAGCTCTCATCTCAGGACCCTGCCACATTGCAAATCAGGCATGAAAGTAAAACTAGGCAGCACTAGGCACAGCTGTAATCATACCATGGCCTATGGCGAGAAATGGAACAAACTTCACTCCAGGCCCACACATCCTGCTTTGCTTCCCAGAACAGACATGGGCTTGGAATCTTTGTCCTGTTAAGCCGAGATCACTAGGCATTAAGGATCCCACTGAGCTACGATCATGGCACATGCCATCTCCTAAAAGGGGTGGGGGTGGCATTGATAATCTCTGGGGAAATGAGCACAATGACCTCTAGCCCCCTATTTCCTGACTTGAGCATCTGAAGATAACAGAGCCCAAGACTTGCTCACACAGTGACTTGCTCTTGCCAATTGCGGGGAGCTCCAAAAGGGCTATTGCTGCCCGGGGTACAAAGAATTCCGGAAGCTTGCAAGGAAGGGAGGAATGGAAGCAGGGACCATGAGGTGGTGGTGGAAGAAGTCAGAGTAAAGAAAGGAAGGGAGGCATTTAACACTATAACCCTAGGAGATCGGTACTATTCCCATTTTACCAATAATACAGCTAAAGCTCAGAAAGCCTTACTTTGCCCCAGAACTCCCGGATCATGGTTTCCCAAAGCCCGGATTTGAACTGAGGCTTGTCTCGTTCCAAAGTGCATGCCCTTTCAATTCCCTTTGCCTACAAGTATATCAGCGTAAAATGCGTAAAATGACAGGAAGGCAGAAGAAACATTTCATTTTTTTCTTTCTTTCTTCAAGACAGAGGCCATGCAAGTTGAAGCCAGTAGAAAAGGATGTGATGAGATGTACAGAAGGAATCCGTCATCCGAGGATGTGAGGCTCCCTGCAGTGTCCGGGCCCGACCGGCAGGGGCAGCAGTCGGAACAGGGTGGCCAGGCGTTAGGAGGGGGCAGAGAGAGGCCCTCAGGCACACGCACTACTCATACCCCCTTGCAAAGCAGGCAAAACGTTCTCCAGAGAGCAAAGAATCCGAAAAGAAGTTAGAGAAAACACTGAATTCTGGCTTCAATTACCAAAGGAAAACAATTCAACAATTTCGTATCTTGAAAAATGAGTCCAGTGAAACCTATACTGTCTGTGGTTTAAAAAGACTTTTAACTATTTTTTGTATGTAAATACCAGTCATCCAGATAACCCTTCTGAAGTTAAAAGAAAAAGGCTAGGTAGAAAATAATTTGTTTGAAATTTCATTTCTTTTCCAAGGCCTGAGGGCACTTCAGCCTGAATAGCCTTTTCTTTTTTTCTTTATTCTTTCTGTTTTTTTTTTGAGACAGTCTCGCTCCTGTTGCCCAGGCTGGAGTGCAGTGGCACAATCTCACCCCACTGCAACCTCCACCTCCCAGGTTCAAGTGATTCTCCTGCCTCAGCCTCCCAAGTAGCTGGGATTGCGGGTGCCTGCCACCACGCCCAGCTAATTTTTGTATTTTTAGTAGAGAGGGGGTTTCACCATATTGGCCAGGCTGGTCTCGAACTCCTGATCTCAGGTGATCCCCCCGCCTAGGCCTCTCAAAGTGCTGGCATTACAGTTGTGAGCCACAGCCACCGCGCCCAGCCCCTGAGTAGCCTTTTCTAAAACCACTCAACCAAAGGTCCTGAAATCCTGCAAGCCAGGTTCCAGTTGCAGCACAGTGAGGTTACCCACTGTGAACCCTTGTTTCTACCGGGGCCCTGGGAAGCTGTGATGAGCCGGGGACCAGAAGCAACAAGCCCAGGAGGGCAAACATAAGAGAGGTGTTTACCAAAAGTGGGAATGAGATATGGGAACCACCTGGCTTCTGCACCCTGCTGAGGGCTCATGAAAACCATCCCCTGGCCACTGGCCTTCCCAGAAGGTGGCCTGAATAGCAAAGACTGTCACACACTATGAATCCTAACCCTCAGAGGGCAGAGGGCAGATCCGGAGGGCACTGCTGGAATCTGCTAGAAGAATTCCAGGAAACCCATATAAGGCAAGAATGAAATCTGTAGGAAAAACTCCCAGTTTCCCATAACGAAAGGCCATTTTTTCTCACTATTTTTTTCCTCTTTTTTATTTTTTGAGGAAACTTATGACATCCCCTGTGACCAGAATCAATTCTCACTTACATATCCAAGTCGTGCCATCACACCTTGCAGTTCAATAAGGATTAGGATGCATTCAGACCTTGAAGACAAATACTCCTTTCCTAGCACATAAGTGCAATCAGCTCCGGAAGGAGGTTCAAAAGGGCAGGAAGCAACATATGGCAAGGTGAAGAAAAAGCCCAAAGTGCAGGCAGGTTTTGAGACCCGGTTAGGAAACAAGCCGTGCCCTCTGTGCTCTGTGAAACCCAGAGATGCCTCGTTCCACCCATCTAGTCCAGGAACGAACGACTGAGCAGGGAAAGGGAGCCTGGCGCAGCTTTCTCTGCTGCTCGAGGACTCTTGTTCCGCAACAGATCAATTCTAGAGGGAAGCGCTGATGCCTTACTTCCTCTCTGAAGCACAGACCTGCTTGCCCTGGTAATATATGACCCCCATCTCCACCTTATTGAGCCCAACAAGCTCTGATTGGAGGGAAGTGAAAGCAGCTTAGAACAGACCCAGATGTCAATGGGTCTCTATACACAGTCCAAATAGGATGCCTGGAAATATATGTTTACCTAGCTTAGAAGGAAAATTGCGGCAAGCCAATATTAACCAGCCGGATCAGCAAGAATCCTGTCAGCCCTCCCTCTTATGTTCTCCCTTCATCTATCCAAATCCTTCTCAGCCTTCAGCTTCCAATCCCTCCCCCATCAGCTCCCTTCTCCTGATCACCCAGTCAACAGGGCTTCACCAATTGTCCATATCACTCATTCCCTCCATCACTCATTCCCCCCTAAGTATTGTTAACACCCAGCACTGTTAATTATTTTCTGTGGTGGATATGAATTGTTTCCAGTTTATACTACACAGAAGTTTCCTGAGGTCCTTATAATTCCTAAAACAATCCTAGTTTACAGTATATCAGAGAAGAAATTAAAATACACATTGGCCAGACAATATTCATTTTTAAATATGAAATCTTAAACATGCAGTTTAAGAAAACATGATACTCAGTTTTTTTCCTGGAGCAGTGGCTCATGCCTGTAATCCCAGCACTTTGGGAGGCGGAGGTGGGTGGATCACTTGAGGTCAGGAGTTCAAGACCAGCCTGGGCAACATGGCGAGGCCCCATCTCTACTAAAAATACAAAAATTAGCCTGGCGTGGTGGTGCACACCTGTAATCCCAGCTACTCGGGAGGCTGAGGCAGGAGAATCACTGGAACCTGGGAGACGGAGGTTGCAGTGAGCCGAGACCACACCACTGCACTCCAGTCTGGGTGACAGAGCAAGACTCTTGTCTCAAAAAAACAACAAAAAAAAAAGACACGTGGGCTTGGGCAGGTCACTTGGCTGCCCCGTACCCCAATAATTCTAAGGTCTCCTGAAGGGAAAATGCTGGGACCTCGAGAATGCTGCAGGGAATGCACCAAATAGCAAGAGAAGAACACGACTTTACAAAACATGACTTGCATATAAATTTATAGTGGAAGCATAAAGGAATATATTCTTTTCAGGGAAGGAATTTTAATCCCATCTGTCATGGTTGGGGTGTAAGATCTTAATACATTCAGGCTAACCAAATATTCAGAACCATAAAGAAACAATATATCCCTCTGGATTAATTTGTTTCCAAAGAATCAGAATCCAGTAATAGGCACTAAGCACAAACACTCTACTGAGCCAAAGTCCATCTTCCTTCAATAATTCAGAGAGCACTTAAGTCTTCTGAAGTGCCTTCAGGTCACTGTAATAAGCATCCAGTGAGCAAGGCAAGCTGGGGGTGGAATAAATCAACCTGTATTCTATTTCCAATTTAATCATGTAATCCATTTCCATAAAACAATTCCTTATTGAACACTAGATGATACATGGGGTACAGACATAAACAAGACACCATCCCTGCCCTCAAACTGCTTATGCTTTAGGAAGGGATGTCAGTCAGGCATATAAAAACTGTTACAGGAATTGAATGTACTCTTTCAATCATGGAGGAAGGAGAATTCAATTTGAAATTAAACTAATGGAGGAACCTGGTTAGCTCAGTTGGTTAATGGTTCTAAGGCCTCCCATGAGCTCCAAGTTATGTGCCACCCCATAAAACCACCTCATCGGATTAAAGGGAAGAAGGGTGCTGCATTTGGTGAAAAAGAAGTGAGGGCCGTCACAAACACATCTTTAATTTCTACCAGAAACAAAAGGTTTTTTGCCCTTTGAGAAAATGAATGCCACAAGTCAGTCCCGATGCAGACGCATTTTGTGAGTTAGTCAGTTTGAACTCAGAAGCACTAAGGAAGGACAGGGTTACATCCAGAGGCCTGATCCCACAGCTCTCCTATTAATAAGGTGGCACAGAAATACTAGAAATAGAGTAGCAAACCCACACGCCATTGTCCATGTTTGCAAACACAACACACACACACACACATTTGTACATACTCATACAAGCACCAGGGTAAGGAACAAAGAGAAGGTTCTAGAACTGACATAGAAGAGGAATTATCACACTCTTCTCTCTTTATTCCCAGAAATGTCAACAAAGACATACAAGTGTAAAATCTAATTAATCCTTACTTTGCTAACTGACCATTTCTGACATTTTAGAATGTATGTGGTTTTGGAATTGACCTCCCCTACCATTTCCTGAGGCTTCCATTGAATTTTCCCTATGATTTTTTTTTTTACTTTTCTTTAATTGTGGTAACATATACGTAACATAAAATTACCATTTTTACCGTGTTTCAATGTATCATTCAGTGGCATTAAGTACATTCACATTGTTGTACAATCATCACCATCATGCACCTGAAGAACTGTTTCACCTTCCCAAACTGAAACATGGTACCCATTGAATATTAACTCCCCATTTCCCCCTGCCCCAGTCCCTGGTAACCACCATTCTATTTTTATCTAGATTTATTCATTATTAATTCAACAACCTGGGCCTAAGCTTGGCCTAAAATTGGAAGTCCAACAGAAAGTGCATTTTCAACACCACCATCCATGTGCATGAAGGAACACTGTTGGGGGAGCACACATGCGTGATATAAAAATAATACAAATCTTATACGGTTTGGCTGTGTCCCCACCCAAATCTCATCTTGAATTGTACTCCTATAATTCCCATGTTGTGTGGGAGGGGACCTAGTGGGACATCAATGGAATGATGGGGGCAATTTCCCCCATACTGTTCTCATGGTAGTGAGTAAGTCTCATGAGATCTGATGGGTTTATCAAGGGCTTCTGCTTTTGCTTCTTCCTCATTTTCTCTTGCTGCCACCATGTAAGAAGTGTCTTTCACCTCCCGCCATGATTCTGAGGCCTCCCCAGCCATGTGGAACTGTAAGTCCAATTAAACCTCTTTTTCTTCCCAGTCTCAGGTATGTCATTATCAGCAGCATAAAAATGGACTAATACAGTAAATTGGTACCAGTAGAGTGGGGCATTCCTGAAAAGATACCCAAAAATGTGGAAGCAACTTTGGAACTGGGTAATAGGCAGAGGCTGGAACAGTCTGGAGGGCTCAGAAGAAGACAGGAAAATGTGAGAAAGTTTGGAACTCCCTAGAGACTTGTTGAATGGCTTTGACCAAAAGCCTGATAGTGATAGGAACAATAAGGTCCAGGCTGAGGTGGTCTCAGATGGAGATGAGGAACTTGTTGGGAACTGGAGCAAAGGTGACTCTTGTTATGTTTTAGCAAAGAGATGGGCAGCATTTTGCCCCTGCCCTAGAGATTTGTGGAACTTTGAACTTGAGAGGGATGATTTAGGGTATCTGGCGGAAGAAATTTCCAAGCAGCAAAGCCTTCAAGAGGTGACATGGGTGCTGTTAAAGGCATTCAGATATATAAGGGAAGCAGAACATAAAAGTTCAGAAAATTTGCAGCATAACAATGTGACAGAAAAGAAAAACCCATTTTCTGAGGAGAAATTCAAGCCAGCTGCAGGAATTTGCATAAGTAACAACAAGCCAAATGTTAAGCCCCAGGACAATGGGGAAGACATCTCCTCGGCATGTCAAAGGTCTTCACAACAGCCCCTCCCATCACAGGCCTGGAGGCCCAGGAGGAAAAAAAGGTTTTGTGGGCCGGGCCCAGGGTCCCCATGCTGTGTGCATGGGGACTTAGTACCCTGTGTCCCAGCTGCTCCAGCCATGGCTGAAAGGGGCCAACATAGAGCTCGGGCCGTGGCTTCAGAGGGTCCAAGCCCTAAGCCTTGGCAGCTTCCACTTGGTGTTGAGCCTGCAAGTGCACAGAAGTCAAGAACTGGGGTTTGGGAACCACCACCTAGATTTCAGAACACGTATGGAAACGGCTGGATGCCCAGGCAGAAGTTTGTTGCAGGTGCTGGGCACTCATGGAGAATCTCTGCTAGGGCAGAGGAAGGGAAATATGGGGTTGGAGCCCCCACAGAGTCCCTACTGGGGTACCGCCTAGTGGAGCTGTGAGAAGAGGGCCACCATCCTCCAGACCCCAGGATGGTAGATCCACCTACAGCTTGCACTATCCACCTGGAAAAGCTGCAGACACTCAGTGCCAACCTGTGAAAGCAGCTGGGAGGGAGGCTGTACCCTGCAAAGCGACAGGGGTGGAGCTGCCCCAGACCATGGGAACCCACCTCTTGGATCAGTGTGACCTGGATGTGAGATCTGGAGGTCATTTTGGAGTTTTAAAATTTGACTGCCCCACTGGATTTTGGACTTGCATGGGCCCTGTAACCCCTTTGTTTTGGCCAATTTCTCCTATTTGGAACAGCTGTATTTACCCAATACTGGTACCCCCATTGTATCTAGGAAGTAACTAACTTGCTTTTGATTTTACAGGCTCATGGGCAGATGGGAATTGCCTTGTCTCAGATGAGACTTTGGACTGTGGACTTTTGGGTTAGAAGTGCCTTTTGCCAGTCCGGGTGTGGTGGCTTATGCCTGTAATCCCAGCTCTTTGGGAGGCCGAGGCAGGCAGATCACGAGGTCAGGAGTTCGAGACCAGCCTGGCCAATATGGTGAAACTCTGTCTCTACTAAAAATACAAAAATTAGCTGGGCATGGTGGCAGGCGCCTACAGTCCCAGCTACTCGGGAGGCTGAGGCAGAAGAATCGCTTGAACCCAGGAGGCAGAGGTTGCAGTGAGCCAAGATCACGCCATTGCATTCCAGCCTGGGCAACAGAGCGAGACTCTGTCTCAAAAAAAAAATACAATAAGATAAAATAAAGAAGTGCCTTTCACCTCCTGCCATGATTTTGAGGCCTCCCCAGCCATGTGGAACTGTAAGTCTAATTAAGCCTCTTTTTCTTCCAAGTCTCGGGTATATCTTCATCAGCAGGATGAAAACTGACTAATATAA
This sequence comes from Homo sapiens, assembly GCF_000001405.40. Classification (NCBI taxonomy): domain Eukaryota; kingdom Metazoa; phylum Chordata; class Mammalia; order Primates; family Hominidae; genus Homo; species Homo sapiens. The sequence goes on along the minus strand of NC_000001.11, from coordinate 231,685,309 downwards.
AATGTATACAAATATAAATCCAAATGTGTATATGTCTGTACACAAATATACATATGAAATATTTATAAACACATATACACAAAGAGAAAGGTAGACATCGATATGAAGATAGCGCAAGAGAGAGGGAGAGTTCTACGCAAGTGAAGCAGTCCTTCCCACTCCCTTTCAAAATCCACCAACCGAGCAGGTCAATCAAGGAATCGCCACAGAATCTTGCACTGGGCTTGCTGCCATCACATTCACCAACGGATACCATCCATCTCTTTGCCAGGCGGATTGTTTTCCCAGGCATGATTATTCACCAACTGCTCTTTCTTGGAGAGGCGAGCCACTCTACCCTGTTGGGGCATTTCAGTCATCTGGAAAGCTGAGTGGACTGCAGGTACAGACGCCAACAGGTCTGCAGGCCACCAGGAGTTCCACCAGAGGCAAAGCTCTGTCGCTGTTTTCCTGTCAGCCTCCTGATCACCCAAAGGCTAGAGATTTGACTCCTGGGTGGCATTCCCACAAACGCTACTTCCTTACAACAGCCTCACAGTCGGAAGGCATGAATCCTACACTGAATTGGCTTTTTATTTAATTGTCTACAGTCTCAGCCCAGAATCACTAAAACTGGAATGACTGTTCTGCTTGTAACAGTCTTTTAGCACAAGAGATAGATACGTGCTAAAAGTATAAACAAAAGCAAAAGAATGATAAACCAGTCTTAACAGGGAACAGGACGTGATGTGCAAGGGACCTCGAGGGTAATGTTCCATTTTTAAGCCTGCTGGTATTTACACAGGTGCCTACTGTATTATTCTCAAACAATACATAGGAAAAAATGCATGCAATTATATAGTAATTCAAGGGTAATGTTCCATTTCTTAAGTGGTGGTTACACAGGAACTGATTGTATTATTTTCAAACAGCACATGTAAAACCTATGTGTAATTATATATTAAACACATAATTATATATAAATACAGTTTTTATAACCGTGAAATATTTGATAATACTTTTTCAAGTTGGGTGCATATATGCCCCCGTAGTCCCAGCTACTCAGAAGACTGAGCTGGGAGGATCACTTGAGCCCAGGAGTTCAGGGCTGCAATGAGCTATGATTCCTCCTATGAATAGCCACTGCACTCCAGCCTGGGCAAGTTAGCAAAACCCCATCTCTAAAAATTAATTATTAATTTTTCAAAGTCATGGTCCCTGTCCTCAATGGAGCTCATGGCTCCCTGGGGAAGACAGACATGTCAACAAGCAGATGCAGACCAGGCTGTGAGCAACTCCACTGCAGGAGGCCAGGAAAGTAAACTGGAAGGCTGAGGCTTCCCAAGCCAAAAAGGAGGGTGAGGTCATTGCCGGTGGAGAGAACAGCAAGCACAGTGTGAAAGGCAGTGTTGAGTGCAGCCAGCTTGAAGAAGTTCAGAACCACTGGGACTTGGGTACAGACAGTGTGGCAGCTGTGGAGGAAGAGGCAGAAGACAGGATGGGAATAGGCCCAGGGTGGCTTCCAGGTGGGGACCGAGAGGACAGGGCCAAGGCAGGACCTGGGCCACAGAGAGGTGGAAACACATGCCATGCAAGTGGGAAAGCCAGGAGGGTTAAATGAGACCGCCTAAGAAGGTAAATCCTGAAAGAAGAAGAGGGCTTGCGAAAAAAGTGACCAGAAACCATCCAAGGAAACCACACTGGGATTCCAGGAGGGGTTGGTCACAGAGGGGGTGTTCACAGAAGGGTTGGTCACAGAATACAGGCAAATTACATGCATCCTAGATGTGCCCAGGAGGATAGCTTGATCCCGGGAAGGCAAGGCGGCAGTGAGCCACAGTCACGCCATTGCACTCCAGCCTGGGCAACAGAGCAAGACTCTGTCTCAAAAAAAAAAAAAAAAAATCATGGTGGTATCTTTTAAAAATTCTGAGGTTCAGATCACAACCAAGACTGATGAAATTACAACATCGAGGGATGGGCCTCCGGTATTGGTGCTTCTTGACACTATCCAGGTGATTCTAGGAGGCAGTCAGGACTGGAAGGCTTTGTTTTAAGGAAAAGTCCTATTTAACATCCTAGTACACTTGGGATTCAAATGCATCATAAACTTTAATGATGCTAGAGAGGTTGTTGCTTTGCAGAATACTCTCTCTCCCCCAATCTTTTTCTATTTCTTGAATGTGGTTTTAGCTACAAACTACTACAAGTAGAAAAAGTATGGTCTATATTTAAAATTTGTCCCCATGCCTCTGTTCTAAATCTTCTACCCTACATAGGATTTCCCCTTTCCATTAGACAATGAGAGTCCTGGGCCCCACAAGGAAGGTGACAGATGGCACCAGCGTCTCACTTTCTTCATCAGTAATGAGGAGAAACAGGCCACCCAGCAGTTTGACATCCAGCCCACTTCGTGTTTAAGGGTCAAAAACCATGCATGTGACATACAGTGTGGGATCCTGGATTGGATCGGGGAACAGGAAAAGGATACTGGTGAAATCTGAATAAGATCTGTAGTTTAGTTCATTGCACCAATATTCATTTTTGAGTCTTAATACATGCACCATGATTATATAAGCCCTTACCGTTAGAGGAAGCTGGGTGAAAGGAACTTTGTGCTGTCTTTGCAGCTTTGCGATAAATCTATAATTATTCTAAAATAGAAAGTTTATCTAAAAAAAACATGTATATGCACACAGTTTATGGACCTGGACTTAATAGCAGAAGATGAAATTCAGCTCTGCCTCTTATGAGTGAGCATGGTCAGGTGACTAACCTCTCTGTTGCTTCCATTATCTCATCTGTGAAATGGGACTCCACCCCTAGGATTGCTGGAAGGATAGATGAGATTATGACTTTAACCGTGCTATACCATGCCTGGCACAGAGTCACTGAAGGAAACCAAAATAAGCCACTCCAAACTATGCTGCTTTGGAATATTGATTATTTTGAGCTGAAGGCACTTGAAAAACAGCAAGTGCAGGGAAAGGTTTTCTCTAAACTCCCTTTATCTGCCCAAAACAGATGTGCCAAAGGGAACTCAGTTGTCATGAATTCCCTTCCTGGAAGTTTCATCAACCAGGGAAGACAGATTTGTATTGCAGGAGATGAAACTAGGAGTCGACACCACACCCAGACAAACTTTGTCACAAACTCTCCTATCTTCCATCTGCTGTTCTAACAGCACATTTCTAAAAATCACAACCTATATCCTCCTCCCCTTCCCCTATGAAAACAGTATATAAGCTCTCAAATCTCACCGCTCTTTGGGGTATTTACTATTTTTTCCTGTGATGCCCCCCATGCACATAATATTAAAAATTAATAAATGGGCTGGGCACAGTGGCTCATGCCTGTAATCCCAGCACTTTGAGAGGCCAAGAAAGGCGGATTACCTGAGGTCAGGAGTTCGAGACCAGCCTGGCCAACATGGTGAAACCCTGTCTTTACTAAAAGTACAAAAAATTAGCAGGGTATGATGGCAGAGGGCACTTGTAATCCTAGCTACTTGGGAGGCTGAGGCAGGAGAATCGCTTGAACCCAGGAGGCGGAGGTTGCAGTGAGCCAAGATCGTGCCATTGCACTCCAGCCTGGGCAACAAGAGTAAAACTCCTTCTAAAAAAAAAAAATAAATGTCTATGCCTATTCTCCTGTTAATCTATCTGTTGTCAATTTCATAGACCCAGCTAGGGAATCTAGGAGGGTAGAGGAGAGGTCACTTCCCCTCCATTGCCATTCAATAACTAGAGTTATTTTCAATTCATGAATAAAGATGAGGCAAAGGCACCTGGACCTGACCACCAGGGAGGTGGAGTTCAAGGCCAAGGTAAACCAGGGCAGCCTCAGCTCTGACCACAAGCTTTTTTTTGTACTGATGAAGTTCCCCAGGAGGCCAACGTGATTTACACACACACACACACACACAAACACACACGAGTGAGAGCCCAACACGGATCACATAGACACTCTATCTATGTTCTCCACTGACCAATACAGTCTCAACTCTCTGATCCAATTTTTCTCTCCTTGTTATGCCTGGATCTCTCTTTCCCAACTGAAGCAGGTGGCTGAGGAATTCAGTAGCAAAAGATTCATAAACCATGTGGAAGGGTATGCTTCAAATGCATCAAGCAGCCCCTCTCCATTGTGCTATTAATTCTCCTAAACGATTGTCTTTTTCTTTTAGTGTAAAGTGCTACTCCAAAATCTGATCACCATCTGAGCCCCCCTCAAGGGTGCTGCTAGCTACAGATGGGTGTCTCTAATGAATTTTTTAACTGCTGCCCTAATAAAATATGGATGAACCAGAAGGAGCCCTCTGTGTAGCTGTTATTTCAAAACAACTAAACAACTTAAGTTTCTGCTCTTATTTTTTTGCAGCAAAGAGCTGCAAACTCTCGTATCCACCCTAGCAAAAGACAGCTTCTTTCATGCTAGTCCATCTGTAAAGTTCACAGTTACCTTTTTAATGCCATATTTTATGCATGGGCTTATTTTCATGGCTTTCTAAATGCTCCATTTTGCATGCCAACTTAGATAAGTGTTTATTTTTAAAATGATCCCAAATTTTCAGTATTTCACACAGAAACAGCACACTGGAAGCTGGAGCATCTTTTAAGTAAGTTCTTACTTTGTGCTAAATGTTTATAATACTCAGATGTAAGCCCACATCAAAGCTTTGTGCCACTTTAAATGCCTGACCTTAAAAATAAAACCATTATAAAATTGCAAATGTTCTGCTCTATGGTCTTACTAAAAAACAAGGGGATATTCAGTATTTTTTTTCCACATGTTAGTATTGGAATGTAGTGCACTGGTATGAGGGAATTAAAAGAACAGCATAACACGACTCCTATGTTATAGTGATCCACATTCTCAATAAGCTGATGTTACAACAACCTGCTGCTATATGCACGGGGGCAGGTGCTGAGCATGACCTGTAACTTACCTGGGTCTGAGATATAAGAAAGCATTTATAATAAAATACAGTTGTCTTTTATCTATACTTGAGGACCCTTCTTTTATAAAATTTCTCTAGTCTCATTTCATATAGAGACACTATATATACTTTCCAAGTTTTGGTTTTTTGTTTGTTTGTTTTTTTGACAAGAGTCTCACTCTGTCACCCAGGCTGGAGTGCAGTGGCACGATCTCGGCTCACTACAGCCTCCGCCCCCTGTGTTCAAGCAATTCTCCTGACTCAGCCTCCCAAGTAGCTGGGATTACAGGCATGCACCACCATGCCCGGCTAACTTCTGTATTTTTAGTAGAGACGGGGTTTCCCCATGTTGGCCAGGCTGGTCTCAAACTCCTGACCTTAGGTAATCTATCCACCTCGGCCTCCCAAAGTGCTGGGATTACAGGCATGAACCACTGCGCCTGGCCTTGTAAGTTTTAAGAGGCCATGACTACATACAAAAAGCTCAATTCTGTCTGATGAATTCAAACAGCATTAGCATTTGGAGTTGATGATAACTAGACAGGGGCTGGACTGAAGTTAACCTTTGTGCTGCCTACAAATAAAGAGGCTGTTTAAACCAATTAATACCTTATGGAAGACGACAGTGGGAAAACTTAGGATGTTTAAGAGAGCAAACTGTTTTCAAGTACTCATTTACATTCAAACAGTGCACACTAATTACAAAGAATTCTCGTCTCTTCTTGCCTCTGTAATGCCTCTCCATTACAGAATCATCTTGAACAAAGCAATACATTTTACTGTTAAGAATAAGTCTCTGGGGATGCTTTAATGCTTAAATATCTGAAGTGTGCTTTAGTTATAACAATGTTTTCTCATTGTGGAAAGCAACTAAACATTTTTATTAAGTGCCTCTTAAAAGCTTTTGTATCCAAAGTGGCATATTTTATGATTTTTAAATTATTAAAATAAGGTGCTACTGTCTCTACCAATCACTCCTCTCAGATAGCTATCACTTAAACTCTCAGATCAGGGCCATCTGCCAGAGGAGGCAGGAAGCAGAGGTGCTGGCTGCTCCCCTGAGGGCTGGGATTCAGAATATGGCAATGAGCTGCTCTTAGATATCTCAGCCAGGCACAGACCAGCATGGAGCTAAGTGCCCGCCCGGTCAGAAACCAACCAATAGAAAATCACTCATGCAGTCCAAGACAGTGCTTGCCAGGGAAGTGAGTGTCCCTCAAGGACTGGAAGTCAAAGGCATCAAAGATGGGGAATCCCCCAACAGGCACAAACTGGCCAGGAAGCTGTGACATTGCCTGGCTCTCTAGAATTCAAGTCGCCCATGTGAACCCATCTTCATGATCCACTATCCATTAGAAAAGAAAACAAATGGCAGCATCCCAGGAATGACAAGACTATTAAGAGACAGAGCAACGTGGCCGGGCGCGGTGGCTCATGCCTGTAATCCCAGCACTTTGGGAGGCTGAGGCGGGTGGATCACGAGGTCAGGAGATCGAGACCATCCTGGCTAACACGGTGAAACCCTGTCTCTACTAAAAATACAAAAAAATAAAAAACAATTAGCCAGGCGTGGTGGCGGGCGCCTGTAGTCCCAGCTACTTGGGAGGCTGAGGCAGGAGAATGGCTTGAACTCGGGAGGCGGAAGTTGCAGTGAGCCGATCAGGCCACTGTACTCCAGCCTGGGCAACAGAGTGAGACTCCGTCTCAAGGAAAAAAAAGAGAGAGAGAGAGAGATAGAGCAACGTAGTCAAGAGAGTTCTGAATTTAGACTGGCCTTAAGCCTATCTCTACCCCTCTTTGACTTGCCCAAGTGTAACTTCTCCATGCCTGTTTTCTCATCTGGGGAAAAGTTCATTCTAATATCTTCCATGCATGGTAGTTGGAAAGATTGGAGAACATGAACTCATGCTCCCCTAGAGAGCCTGTGCTCTGAGGCCCTTGTCCACACTGCCTTCTCTCAGTCTATAGATGATCTTATGGCCGCTGACTTCAACCATAATAGTGGAAGCAAATGTCTCCGCCACACAGAGCTGCCCGCCTGCCGAGCAGACAGAAGAGTTCCTGCTGCTTCTCACCACACTTCCCTGGGTTCTGGTGGGTGTAAATAACACATTCGTCCTCTTTGACCTCCTGTTTACAATTCCATACTGACCATCCCCCTCTGTTAACAGTCTTTCTTCAGACGAGACCAATGTATGTATTAGATGTCCATTTTTTTATTTACGATCTCATTCCAGTCTTGCCTTCCTGAGATTACACTGCAGTCACTTTGGAGCATAGGATGTTTACAGACAAGCCCTGAGTTACTTCTGTAGATGACTAATCTCATCATTATGTATGAGGTTTACCAGTTTAATATTCACAGAGAGGGTCTTACAGCAAATCAAAGTGTTGTTTTTTGGTTGGTTTTTTTTTTCTTTGAGACACAGTCTTGCACTCCAGGCTGGAGTGCAATGGCACGCTCTTGGCTCACTGCAACCACCACCTCGCAGGTTCAAGCGATCCTCCTGTCAGCCTCCTGAGTAGCTGGGATTACAGGCATGTGCCACCATGTCTGGCTAATTTTTGCATTATTAGTAGAGACAGGGTTTCACCATATTGGTCAGGCTGGTCTCAAACTCCTGACCTCAGGCGATCCACCCGCCTTGGCCTCCCAAAGTGCTTGGATTACAGGCGTGAGCCACCGCACCTGGCATGAAGTGTTGGATTTTAATTCGGTCAGTTCCCACCTGGGTGATCCGTAACAAGTTACTTAGCCTCTCCAGGTCTCAGTTTGCTCATCTGTAAAATGGGGATAATCCCCATACCCTGAAAGGCTGTCGTAAGGATACAATAAAATCATGAAATGTTTGTTCTTTAAAAAACACATTTTAAATTTCTGGCAGGTGACGTTAAATGCTCAATAAATTTTAGTGTCTTTCCCCGAGTTGTTCTGAGCCCCCGAAGTCATTCCTTTATTCCGATAACATTTTGGAATTTTCCAGCACAGTCTTTAAAAAGAGAGAAGAGCTACGAATTTTCTCCCTTTTTCCTTCTTTGTGGGAGGAAAATCTGTTCATCAGTTAAAGTAATATTATTCAACAGTCTGCTTCAGACTTAGTTTTTTGGGGTTTTTGTTTTGTTTTGCTTTTCTGTTTTATCTTCCTAAGACAGTAAAATGCAGTAAAGAGAAAATAAATGGGTATGGGCGAATAGAAAAACAGAGAAGTCAATAGAAGTTTACAAACTATCAGGAAAATATCATCTAAGCTGTAGGCAACTTCTGACAAGTAAAAGAAACTCATGAAAATTTTAACAGATCTGTATTTTACCCTAGAGTTACAGAAACCTTCTACATGTGTGCGCCCTGACCAGACACTACTTTAACAATCTCTCCTTTTCCTTAAGGAAGAGGTTAAGGGGAAAAGTGACATTTCACACACTCTAAACACTCAAAATCAGTTTTTCCCCTGCTTCTTTGTTTACCTTCTCAGTCTCTGGACTAGCTTTCTAACCCCTGGCAACATCCAAAGGCCTATTTCTTTTTTAAAAGGGGTCTTTAATAGCTAAAACAAACTATAAAAGTCTGTTTTTCTCTAGAATGAGCTTTAAAACTGGAGTTAGCTCTTGCTGAGGGAATAGAGCTTTCTTGGTACACAGCTTATTTTGAAATAAATGAGGCAATCCTGGATAATAAATTGGCTTTAATTCACTTATTACACTGAAGGAATGTGAAAATGAGATTGGTAAATTGCTGCACTGGTCTTTGAGGAATTTGGGAGAATAGGAGACATGTCAACACACTAGAAAGACAAATACTGAATTTATTTTATTTAAACAGGAAATAAGAAATGGGGAAAAGACAATAGTATTTCTTAAGAACTCTACTGTGGGTCAGGCATGGTAAACTATGGGAGAGGTAGAGGTCATAAATGTCTGGATTTTACCAAAAGGATTTAAGACGCAGCCTCTCCTGATTTCCATGTGTAGAAGTGGAGGCTGGAGACACAGACCGGTGGGACAGGTAGGTGGATTCGTAGCTGGGAAATAACAGTTCCAGGCCAAATGACTCTAAATCCTAAATGGTCACAGGGAAGGTCCCACAGGGCTCTTTCCTTTGACCTGTCCTCTTCAACATAATGGATGATAGCATCGGGACCTAAAAATGTTCCAAAGGGTTGAGACTAATATACCACTGTTATGTATCAAAACAAAGCAGAAATAATTTAACTAAACAAAGAGAAAGGAGTATAATATACCAGCAGACGATGGGGGCGGTGGCCCATGCCTGTAATCCCAGCATTTTGGGAGGACAAGGCAGATGGATCATCAGGTCAGGAGTTTGAGACCGGCCTGACCAACACAGTGAAACCCTGTCTCTACTAAAAATACAAAAATTAGCTGGGTGTGGAGGCGCACGCCTGTAATCCCAGCTACTCAGGAGGCTGAGGCAGGAGAATTGCTTGAACCCGGGAGGCGGAGGTTGCAGTGACCCGAGATCACATCATTGCATTCCAGCCTGGGCGACAGTGGGAATTCTGTGTCAAAAAAAAAAAAAAAAGAAAAGAAAAAACAAATACAATATACCAGCAGACTAGAGCTATTTGGAACAGAAAAATGGAGCTCATGGAGGAAAAGATAAGATGTCACACATTGGACAAGGGAGTAAGAAGGACCTCGAAGACAAGAGAAGACAAAGACAGAGAAAGCCCTCATCCAGAGAGCCCCCAAGGGATAAGGGCAATGGCGCACATGGGCCTCCATGGCTGTCCCTCACAGCACCATCTTTAAGGATGCGGCCCAGTGGTACACTGGTACCTTCTAGGGTCTCTCAGCCACCTTGAGAGACCTACTAGCCCAGGAAATTTTGAGAGTAAATGTACATGTATGAGGGAGAAATGTACAAATAGCATCTCTATCTGATGATAAGGTGAACTAATTTCTTAGGGTCAAAAATCAACTTCCAACCGGTTCACAATAGATCCTCCTTCCTGCTTAGATCTTTGTCTCTGAGGTTGAGTGTTAACCACCACAAAGGCAACAGAGCTAAGCCACACTAAAATGTGCAATAGGGTAGGGCTGGGGAAGAGGCAGGGAGAGAGACCCCAGGACCCAGCAATCATCCCAAAGCAAAAAGATGTGTCATTCCGGCAGGATCCACCAAGACAGCGCTACACTTTGCGGGCGGGAGTAGCCTAAGGACCAATAAGCAGGACACACATGGATGTCTCTGAATCTGTATAAAGCCCATACTAGCCGTGTGCAGAGTATCAAGGGTCTCAGCTTTTCATTATCAATAACATCTTTTAAAGAGATATTTTCTTTTTACACACTTGCCGTTGGAAGTCTCTCATCAACTTTGTTTTAAATCCACCAATTCAGAGATTATGCTTGTGGGCACATTTTCAATCATACTGCTATTCTTGGGAAAGGACCAGACAGGATTAAAATCCTTCCCAGCCTCCAAAAGAGCCCCAGTGACAGCAAAGGTAAGTCTGGGCGGGCGTAGGAATGGGGTGAAAACAAAGGGACATCCGGAACACTACACAAATCCTCGCTCCTTCTAGGTGAGTTTTAAGGTTATCTGGGGAATTTTTTTCTGTCATCAGGCTGTGTTGTCATATTGGCTACAAGTTTATTTAACTTTGCTCTTAGGCAGAACTACATACACATGGCCACGAAGGCCATACAAAGCTGCTTTTCTTACAACTTCCTACAATGCTTAACCTAACAACAGGTACTCTGTGTACCCAACAAGTGCTTCAATGTACTGCAGAGAACTGCTTTGATGATGTGTGAGATCACCAAGCTGAGGCTGCACACCCGGGTCACACCTAGCCTGGTGATGAGACAAAAAGAAAATCAGTTATTTCTCTGCACTTCATATTTTCTTTGTATTCAAATTAGACAGGACATTAGAAAATACATTGTAAACTCCAAAGTGCCATAGAAATGAAATGTTTTACTAATGCTACTTTCTACAATTGATAGCATGGTCTTATCCCAATGGCTATGGATCAAATATTGTTATAGTAACAGCTCAGTGACTGCCCACATTATTCAATTCCCATTACTCTTCCTCCCAAAATTACAAAGCTTCAAAATGGCACATATAACAGATGTGACGCAGAAAAAAATCAGAGAGGGATTGGAAAAAAAAAAATCAAAAACTAGCTTGACAAATCTGACATAATCTGATGTCCATTTACGCATCATAAATTCACTGAGCACTTACTAAGTGCCAGACATATTCTAAGCTCTTAACATATTTTATGTCATTTAATCCTCGCCAAAACTGAATGAGGTAAGGATCATTATCACCTTATTTTTAAGATAAGATCACTGAGGTTTATAGGAGATAAGTAACACAGCTGGTTAGTGCTAGCTCCAGGACTAGATCCCAGGAAGTCTGGCCTCAGTCCTACCCTATTCTGCACACAATGGGCACTGGCTTTTTATACGAGAGTCTGGGATAAATGCACATGTCTTAGAGCATAGGACTAAACTCGTAAGGAGTCTATACCTCCTCTTTTCACAGTTGTCAATACTCAAACGTGAGCCCCAAAAGTATAATTACTCAATGATGTTTGTTGTTTATCTATGAGACACTCCAACCTTTCAGAATAACCAGCCTACTAAGAGCTCTAAGAGAAACACGACACAGTCGAAGTGTCCAAACATCACTGCCTTGAATTAGGTACAAAGATCTTCATGCTTCCCAGTTCTTCAAATCTTTCCAAGTTGAAAATGTGCTGTAGTCCGTTTGGTTTCAAGTAGAGCCTCCTAATGAAAGATCTTTTCTAGTGAATGGCATCAGACTTAATCTGACAGCCATTCAGAATTTACAGATTATGTGGAAGGAAAGAAATCTCTGGAGAAAGTGACCAGGTCAAACTAGAGTTAAAAATAGCCAAGAAGAAAGCCAGATGTGGTGGCGCCTACCTATAGTCCCAGCTACTCAAGAGGCTGAGGAGTAGCCCAGCCTCCTTGAGCCCAGGAGTTCAAGGGTATAGTGCATTATGATAAACCTATGAATAGCCACTGCACTCCAGCCTGGACAACAGAGAGAGACCCCAGTTTCTTAAAAAAAGAAAAGAAAAGAAAGAAATAGCCAAGGAAAGGATGCTGAGTGAGTCATTTTCCCACCTCCAGGGGACAGCACACCAGTAATGGAGTGGAAGATATGTTGGAGGAAGTAATAAAGCACTAAAACTGCGAGTTATTTAATTCTTTATAATGAAAACAGATTCAAGTTCAGATATTCAGTTGTCTTTCTTGAGTGGCAAAGGAAGGCACAGAATTAGAGCTGGCTTCAAGCCAAGAACCATTGCACCTGACCCTGGGGTAAGCCCCAGGGAGTCCCCCTGCACTCACCAGAGGTCACTCATCAACTCAGCTTCATGGACAGCTTGATCAGAAAAAAGAGGTTAGGAGCTTCTGCACCAAACTAGTTAGGCATGAGTGTGATCTGGGGGTCACGTGCATCAAAATCACCTGGGAGGTTTGTGGAAATGCAGATTTCTGGGCCTCTTCTCACCTCTCCCAAACCAAACCCCCAGGTCAGGGAGTTAAGGAACAACAGGTATCTTTCCCAAGTGCCCCAAGACATTAATTAGTACAATAATGCCAAGGCAGACAAGGTGGGTAAAGTATCTACAAGTACTTCTGAGATTGAAAAGGAAGCTGTCTGAAAGGCAGAAATTTTCAAAGGACATGTACAAAGATCCACAGAAGGGAAGCAACCAGGAGTAAGCCCAAGGGGGTCACAAAGCAATAAGAAAAATGTCAAGAAGACCAAAGGCCAGAATGAGCTCCACTTCCTGTAAATATACTAAGGACAGCACAAAGGTGTGCTTCAAACAAACACACAAACAAATGGAGCAGGACAAGAAAGTCAACCAGGCAGGGAAGTGCCCAGTATCTAGGGCACAGTGATAATAGATAAGAGAGAAGACAGGGCAGAATGACATAGCTCAAATTCTCAGCCTTCATCTCTATTAAAGAAAATGATCTTCAGATTGAAAAAGATAGTGGTAGCATAATTTAGGAGGAATTGAAGCCCAAGAGAGGTAAAAAGATAGAAAGAGAGTACCTAGCCATTTCAAATGAGTTCATGTCCCCAACTGAGGTCAAATCAGTCAGGATCTAGTACTAAAAGAACTGACAGACATGATGACAGAAATATACTCAATAGACCTTGAGAAATCATGGACTTACTGAAGATCAAAGATTGACAAGTATTCTCGTTTCAAGAAGAGAAAAAAAACAGAATCTAAGAAGCACAGACTAGCCAGCCAGTTATATATTCTGGATGCAATTCTAAATGAATAATTAAAACAATCCCGTTATGAGCAAAACAAATCAGGCAACCTCTGGCACAATATAATGGAATAAAGACAGTTAATGACACCTCTGTGAAACCCACTGAAATGAGCAAAGTGATTGAGAAATTGGGGAGGAAAGTTTATTGACAATGCATCTTATGATCACTTCAAGACACCTACTTTGTACCCAGCAGGGTTATAAGCATTTTACAAATATTAATTCATTTCATCTCATAGCAGTGCTATTACTAACCTCCTTCACAAATGAGGAAAACTGAGGAATCAAGAGGTTAAGTAGCTTGCCCAACCTCACATGGCTAGCAACTGGAAAAATTTTAATTAAAACCCAGGCAGTTTTCTCCATAACTATGCTCTTAACACTATATTGCTTCTTAAAACCATGAGAATACCTGCCAAATACTGTAAAATGTGGATAAAATTAATGGCAGATACTAAAACCAATACAACCTTCTCCAGTTCTTAAGGAGTGTTTTTCCAAGGTCCTTTACTCAGGAGAATGGAGAGTTCAAGCATGTGTTGAGCTGGGGAGAAGAAGGCAGCTATTGGCCAACTATTAATCTGAGCTATGGTAATGTTAATTTTTTTATGATAACCTAGGAAGATTTACCATAGGCCAACTGATGCCTGCCTGGGTGTTCTGCTCAGTTCATTCATAATATGAAGCCATCTCAGAAGCAGCAAGAGGCACAGTTACAGCTGAAAATAGAGTCAATGGTATGGAATATCAACTTGAGAAAATAGCAAAATGCAAAGGAAAAGGTAAAAAAAAAATAATGAAAAGGAAGATGATATATACACAAGGCAAACAAAAATATGGACAATTGATGTCCCTTGAGAAGAAAAAATAAATAGGAAACCAAACTAAACCTACAAATAAAAGATCACACAGCTCCTAAAAAACAAATTGAAATATTATGACCAACACCAAGATGTCCTGGTAAAATCACTGAAATCCAAAGAAAAAAGAATGAATCCTGACTGATTCTCTGAAAAAACTCAAGTCATGTACAAAGGGCAAAATTAAAGCTGGCTTCCAAGGCAATATTCAACGCCAAGTAACACTCCCTATACAGTTTGGATGGAGGTGGGGAGCAGGGCATACTCAAGAATTTTATACCCAGCCAGGTTGGCAGACATTATAAAGACAATAAAAAGTCATTATTTAACATGCATGGATTTGGATACTAAAACAACCATAGGCTTTCTTGATTAAAAACCTCTAGATGGTGAAATCCCAACAAGCAAGCAATAAATCATGACAATGGACTTGGGAATGGCAGGGCTCTTTTATGAAAGGACTACTGGGGAGTGCTGGATCCTTTATACAAAGCACCAAGGCTGAAAAATTGGTTTAAGTCTCAGAGTTGTTCCTCTTCATGGGAATCTTTCGTAAAAGTCACAAGATTTATATGATCTGAAGAGAAACCAGGATAAACACTGAACAGAATGTCAATGTTATAACAGTGACATAAAATAACAATATAACTAATGAAAAAACTAATATTTGACATTTGTATAGCACTTCCTCGTTTACCAAAGCCTTTTCCATACAATACCTCATTTCAACCAATTTTAGAGGTGGAACACCTTAAGGCTCAGAGAAGCAAGCTGCAAAGGCACTCTCACAGACTTTTCAACCCAATCTTGACAGTCTTTACACATGTACCACCTGTTGCACACATTTTGCTTATAACCCCTATTTTATTTTTGTGTTTTTTTAACTTTTAAGTTCAGGGGCATGTAGGTAAACTTGTGTCATGGAGGTGTGTTGTGCAAACTATTTCATCACCCAGGTATTAAGCCTAGTACCCATTAGTTATTTTTCCTAGTCTTCTTCCTCCTTCAACCCTCCAATTCTTCAATAGGCCCTAGTGTGCATTGTTCCCCTCTATATGTCCATGTGTTCTCACCATTTAGCTCCCACTTATAAGTGAGAACATGCGGTGTTTGGTTTTCTGTTTCTGTGTTAGTTTGCTAAGGATAATGGCCTCCCGCTCCATCCAGGTCCCTATCGCATTCTTTTTTATGGCTGCATAGTATTCCATGGTATATATGTACCACATTTTCTTTATCCAGTCTATCATTGATTGGCATTTAGATTGATTCCATATCTTTGCTGTTGTGACTAGTGCTGCAGTGAACATACACATGCATGTGTCTTTATAATAGAAAGATTTATATTCCTTTGGGTATATACCCCACAATAGAATTGTTGGGTCAAATGATATTCCTGTCTTTAGGTCTTTGAGGAATCACCACAGTGTCTTCCACAATGGCTGAACTAATTTACACTCCCACCGACAGCATATAAGCGTTTTTTTCTCCACAACCTCGCCAGTATCTGTTATTCTTTTACTTTTTAATAATATCCATTCTGACTGGTGTTAGATGGTATCTCACTGTGGTTTTGATTTACACCTCTCTCATGATCAGTGATGTGGAGCTTTTTTCATATGATTGTTGTCTGCATGTATGTCTTCTTTTGAAAAGTGTCTGTTCATGTCCTTTGCCCACTTTTTAATGGGGTTGTTTGTTTTTTTTCTTGTAAATTTGTTTAAGTTCCCTATAGATGCTGGATATTAGACCTTCGTTGGATGCAGTTTGTAAAAATTTTCTCCCATTCTGTAGGTTGTCTGTTTACTGTGTTGATAGTTTTTTCTGCTGTGCAAAAGCTCTTAAGTTTAATTAGATCCAATTTGTCAATTTTTGCTTTTGTTGCAATTGCTTTGGCATCTTCATCATGAAATCTTGGCCCATGTCTATGTCCTGAATGGTATTGCCTCAGTTATCTTCCAGGGTTTTTATAGTTTTGATAACCCCTATTTTGTACACCAACATAAAGACATCTAAGGACCTAAGTGTTCTCCTAACAATTCCCAGGCATCCCTATCACTGCAATTCTTCCATGTCATCCCTATTAACTCTCCTTTGCTCCCTGACTTCCCTTTCTCAACCAACTTGAGGAACTGCTCTCTGATATCAGAACAAGGGCTCCTTCTATAAAAATGATGAACAGGGAGCTTCCTCAAAAGAAAAACTGATAGACTCCAGTCACCATTGCAGGAGAACATCAAATAAGGAACATGTGAAGAAACTGGAAGGGTGAGACCTAAAGAAGGGAAGGCTGAAAGGACACATGAGCACTGACTTCAGATATGTCAAAGACTGCCATAGGAAATGGCAAATTGTGTGTTGTCTGTCACAGTGGGCAGTAATCTGATCCATGGCCCATCTCTCAAGCTCCGTGGAAAGCCATGTCCCAAACACCAGCCAGTCTCAAACCACTTCATGGTGCTTGTCAATTTAAAGGATACTTTTATTCTTTTTTGGTATCACTATCACTGGGATATGAAAATCACTCCCCATAATTAGAAGATAACCATACAAATATGGTTTGCTGTTGGCCAAAGATTTTGGGACAGAAGTCTGCTGAGCTCTGTCTTTATAACAAAGGGAAATGAGAGTTAGAGAAGGTTAAAGATGCACTAGCAGCAAATTGAGACTTTCACCTTAGCAGGAGAACGTGAGTCAATGGTACCCCATGCCATGTCCTTGTGACTCTGAAAATCATCTCTTGGACCACTGTGTTGCACATCCCACACCTGGACAGGAATGGCCGCTTGAGGTGAAAAATGTTCCCAAGCGATCTATAAAGTTATTCTAGTTTATACCCACAAGAAGGAAGACAGGAGTTCAACAGGAAAACACATGTTATAATATCTAAAGCTTAAGCTAGTAAGTACAGTATGCTGTACTATACAGCATAATGCCTATAGCTAACAAACACTGCATTGTATACTTAAAATTTGCCTAGGGTAGATTTTATGTTATATGCTTTCACCAAAAAAAATTAATCATAGTAATAATAAAGAAGAAACTTTGGGAGTTGAGGGACATGTTTAATGATTGGTTTCACAAGTGGGATTCACAGGTGGTTTTCACAAGTGTGTTGTACTTATCCTGAAACTTATCAAGATGTATGTATTAAGTATGCACAGCTTTTTTTTTTTTTTTGACAGAGTCTTGCTCTGTCACCCAGGCTGGAGTGCAATAGTGCAACCTCAGCTCACTGCAACCTCCATCTCCCAGGTTCAAGTAATTCTCCAGCCTTGACCTCCCAAGTAGCTTGCATTACAGGCACCCCCCACCACGCCCAGCTAAGTATGTACAGCTTTTTTTATGTCAATAAGACCTCAATAAAGTAGTTTTGAAAAAATAAGTAACATTGGCAACAATGGAAAAAGCATCTTTATAAATGCTAATAATATTTATTTTTTAATGTCCTACAAGTTACAAAGCACTTTCATTTACATCATTCCACCTAATCTGTTCAAAGTAGTAACTATTCTGTCCTTGAGATAATTCAACAGAAGCATCACGCAGGACAGACGATAGCTAAGGCCCTTTCCAACACCAACAATCTCAGAATGTGGGCTGCTTTACCACCTTGAATTTGAATTGCTAATTTTTAAAAGAAAGGGAATTTTAAATTAAAACTTTAACCCATGGTCAGTAAGAAGGCTGAATTGGATTTACTGAAGTAGAAAGCAATTTGATTTTAACTCAACAAAGATGAAGCACATCCAGGGGAAGTGAACACAGTAATCACTCTGGGTGTGTGTGTTAATATGACAACACATCATAGGAAAGAAAGCACTGCCCTGCAGCTTATCAGGAACAGGAGGGCTCAGGAAAGGTCACTGAAGGTAAGGAAGTATTTAAGCCCTGAGTCTGCAATTTAAAAAGAAGTAAACTCCAATGAAGTCAGACAGACTGTAAAGCTCAAGTGTGCAAATTAAACTTTTCTTCCTACCTCCCTTGGCAACCTTTGGACTGCCCCAGATTTATCCAAACTGAAAAGAATAAGACCTCTGTGGTCCTCTTGAGTACCTTAAAGTTAATGGAAATAATTTCACCAGTTCCTCCTTCTTTTAAGGGGTAGTAGATCCAAGCTGCTCTGTAAGGACTTCCTTCAGAATACAGGCTCCTGTCTGAAGGGCCAGGCTGTGCAAGGGGATCATAGCAGGGAAGCCAGCTGGTTTACTTGCTTTGAAGGTACCACATCTTAGCTACATTGTTTGAATATTCGCCTGGAAATACATAAACATTTAAACACAAATTCCAGGAAGCCCAGAGGGTTTGAGGCACTGCCATTTTGAATTTAAAGGGAAAGAACAAGGCCCTCTCTGAGAACTACTAATCACCTCAGCAGCTTCCTCCTCTGCAGCCAGTCCTGACCTCTCCTCTCCAGATTCTACATGTTGCCAGTCCTCCTCAGAGCCCATTACGATGGGGTGAAGATGAACGCCTTTTTCCTTCACTAAGAACCTTTCATTTTATCCTTCAAGCTGGCGAGGTCACAGAGGTGTCATGTATCGAAATGGCTGGGAGAGCCCATGCCACCTGAAGTGTATGTAGGGAGGGGTGGGCAGAGAGGCTGGGCAGCTGCCTGGCCTGTGTCTGTTGGCTTCTCTCAGCTTATTTTGCATCATACCATTATTTGTTAAAAGATAACAGTTCTATGTAATGATAAATTTAAAAATGAGATTAGGTATTTGCTAAGGGTTTCTTAGCTGACACTGATTGTCATATTTTATTTATGCGCCAGGGAGAAGTTCCCATGGCCCTTTAATTAGATTAGCTCTAGAATTTGCCATATTTCTCTCAGAATTCCATCTGTCTCTCCTTATTATCCTAGTCTTTAAATCTTTCCCTGGAGAGATTAATTCGTACTGTGCTTTTTTTTTTTTTTTTTTTTCCTGAGACAAAAGCTACATGACACAAGATGGCAGACATTCTACGAGATATAAGAACAGCTCATAATGGCTTTTGCTTTAATATGACATGAAAAGCTTGGGGTTGTAGTTATCAATAAACTCAACCTGAGTGAGCAGTGGATGTGATGTGGGTGCCAAAAAAAAATAAGCATTACCTTGATTGCATTGAAGAGATCTAACATTCGGATTAAGGGAGGTAAAGACCTACTGTTCCCTGTCCTACTAAGACCACATATGGACTATTCCTTTCCTTTCTAAGCACCACCTTTTAAGAGAAAAGAGCCAGAAAGGCAATTAGCATGGCATGGCCTTAAGTGGAAGTGAGAGCCCTTCCACACCCTCAGAGGGTGACGATGCAGCTGATGAAGTGCCGCTCTGAAAACAATCTGGATGGTGGCAGTGGGAAGGAGAGATGCAAAGGAAAAGAGGAAACTCTGTAGAACTAGTTCAGAAATCATCAGGAGGGTAAGGAAAGCAGAAAACCTATTGTACAGTTGACCCTTGAACAACATGGGAATTAGGCATCAATCACCTGCACAGTTAAAATTCACTGTAACTTTTGAATCTCCAAAATCTTACCTACTAATAGGCTATTGTTGACCAGAAGCCTTATTGATAACAGAAAAGGTCAATTAACACATATTCTGTATATGTATTATATTCTTACAATTAAGGTAAGCTAGGGAAAAGAAAATATTAAGAAAATCATAAGGAAGAGAAAATGTATTTACACTACTGTACTTTACTTATTGATATTGTAAGTTTACATTGTCTGCTTACAAGCTGAATCATCTGTCCGAAATGGTGGGCAACCACAGTGCAGATCTCAATTTATAGCACACATCAAGCAATTCAGCTTTTACTTGTAATGTCATGACTTTTCTCTGCTTTTTGGGAGCACTTCCAGCATCAGTAGTGGCACTTCGTATGAGTCCCGCTGTGTTACTCAAAGTTTATAGTATTGCTCCAAACACAAAAAAAAATGTGAGAACTGAAAGAGATAACTTTCATTGCAATATGCAATTTACTGGAGAGAGAAACTGCTCATGTGCAGACGGTTAGCATCACATGGCATTTTAAGTGGATACTTCCCACACTTGAGCTCACCACAATAGCAATGTAGGTGGCAATGCAGCGATTATTACCACAGTACCTTATGTATACAGTTAATTGTATGCAATTATGATTTAATACTGCATTTTTTATGTTGTTTCTATTTCTCTCCACTGCAAAGGATGCCATGTACACTCTGTTTGCATACGTTTTGATAAATTTTTACTTTTTAGAATAGATGTGTGTATCATTTTATGGTAGTAAATGATAAAATAGACTAGTATCTACATATATTTTATGCATTCATAACATAGCTTTTTCTTATTTTTTTTTTATATTTCTAGGATACATGGTTTGTCTGCGAGTTTTTTCAAGTTGCCACAAATCTCCAAAAATATTTCTAATATATTTACTAAAAAAAAAATTCATGTAGAAGTGGACTCACAGTTCAAACCTGTGTCGTTCGAGGGTCAACTGTATTAGTCTCCTATTGCTGCCATAACAAATTACTATAAATTTAGTGGCTTCAAGCAACACAAATCTATTATTTTACAGTTCTGGAGGTCAAAGTGAGTCTCACTGGGCTAAAATCAAGGTGTCAGTGAATTCCTTGGCTTTGGTCCCTTTCTCCATCTTCAAAAGCAGTTGAGCATCTTCAAATCTCTCTCTGACTTTGACTCCTGCCTCCCTCTTTCCTTTATGAGCACCCTATGATTACATTGGGTTCACATGGATAGCAAAGATAGTCTCTCCATCTAAAGATCCTTAACTTAATCTCATCTGCAAAGTCCCTTTTTGTCATGCAAGGTAAAATATTCATAGGTTCCAGGATTGGGATGCAGACATCTTTGGGGGGATATTATTCTGCCTACCACAACTATCATTAGATATGGGGGGATGTGGATAATGAAAGGCTTGAACTTAGATCTCAGGCAAGATTAAGTTCAAGAACTGAAAGGTAAATATTGTAGATGTTTAAAATAACAAGCAGTGGAGTCAGGGAGATCTAGGTTCAAACCTTGACTCTTTCATGTGTGAGTTGGGTAATTTTGGCAAATTACTTAATGTCTCTGGGTCTCAGTTTCCTCATCTGAAAAACAGGGATAAGCATAGCTTCTCCTTAGACTGTTGTGATGGTCAAGCTAGACATAGATAGACGGATGGATGGATGGATGGATGGATGGATGGATGGATGGATAGATAGATGGATAGATAGATAGATATGGCATTAGCACATGAAACTGAAGCTCACAAAATTAAACAGTTTGGCCATATCTGTCCAACTTAATACCTATGATGCTTCTATTAGCTAATCCTTAGGATTAAGATCAGTATTTGGGCCTAATTTAGGGAGACATCTGTTAATTCATTAAAAAAATAAGATTCTGCATCTATATAACAGTAATCATTGCCAGAAACTTAAAGGAGCATTAGCCCCCATGGAAATAAAGCTCTGGTTATGGAGGAGACCAAACAAATAGATTAAATATAGCTACATGTGTCAAATAAATAAGTATCAAATGTGATGTGCTAAATGAGTGGTATAGGTATATGCAACACGTGGAGGGTAAAGGATGCAAGTTGTTAATCTTAGCTCATACAAAAGGCTTCCTAGTGGGGATGGAGCTTGAAGGAAAGCATCAGATTTCAGGCAGGAGGGTGGAAAGTGATACAACCAAAGTGAGAATGTTCATTGCAAGTTGTAGGGGCAGTATAACTGAAGTAAGAATTCACATAAAGTACAAGGGACTTAAATGCCAGCAGGAAACAGGAAGTAACTGAAAACTGCAGATGTCCAGGATGTCCACATCAAAGTGATGTGGAAATCATGAGAGAGGCTGGACTAGCCCACATACTGCATTATTCAGGCATTTGATTGCAGAGTTGTCTATTACTCCCTTCATTTCTGTCAACATTTGCTTCGTATATTGTGGAGCTCTGATGTTTGGTGCATATATGTTTTGAATTGTTGTATCTTCTAGGTAAATTGACCCTTTTATCAACATATAATGTCCTTTTTTCTTGTAAAAATTTTTGACTTAAATTCTATTTTATGATATTAGTGTAGACACCAAAGCTCTCTTTTTGTTACTATTTACATCTTGTTCTATGCTTTCACTTTCAACCTTTAGATCTAAAGTGGGTCTCTCATAGCATGCAGTTAGATCATGTTTTTCTTTAATTCATTCTGCCAATCTATGCTTTTGACTGGACGTTTTTCGTTTGCTTGTTTGTTTCTTTTGTTTTGTTTTGTTTTGTTTAAGACAGAGTCTCGATTACTAATATGGAAGGACTTACTTTTGCCATTTTGCCTCCTTTATATCTTACAGTATTTTTGACCCTCATTTTCTCCATGACCAGTTTTCTTTGTGTTTTGTTGACCTTTTTTTTACAGAGGCACATTTTGATGCCTTTCTCATTTCCTTTTGTGTACATTCTATAGATATTTTCTTTGTGGCTACCATGGGAATTACATATAATATCCTATAGTTATAACAATCTATTTTGAATTTATACCAACTTAACTTAGGCATACAACAGCAACAGGCTGGAATCTGCCTGAGATAGGTCCGAGTTTCCAGGGAGAGGGGCAGCCACCATCTCTTTGGTCCAGTAGACTTGGCCTTTCCAGCCTGCCAGCTTTGGAGAATACAAATGGTCCAGATGAGGAAGGGCCCCCCACAATGCAGCACAGCTGCTTTGCCACACTGTGGCCAGATTGCTTCGTTAAGTGGGACCCCGATTCATTCCTCCTTACTGGGAGGGACCTCCCTGTGGGGGCTTCAGCCACGCCAACAAGGGTTCTATTAACAGAACTCTGACCTCTCCCTCGGATGCAGCTCCCAGGGGGAGAGGTGGCTGCCATCTCTGTGGTTCAGTGGACTCAACCATTCCAGCCTGCTGGCTTTGGAGAATGCAAACAGTCCAGATGAGGAAGGGTCTGCCACAATGCAGCACACCTCCTCAGACAAAAAGCAGCAAGACTCATCTTTAAATGGGTCCCTGATACCATTCCACCTGACTGGGTGAGACCTCCAAACAGGGGTCTCCAGCCACCTCTTACAGATATGTTCTGGCCAGCAACAGGTCAGTATCCCCCTGGCACAGAGCTTCCACAGGAAGGAGCTGGCAGCCATCTTTGCTGTTTTGCAGCCTTCACTGGTGATATCTCCAGGTACAGGAAAAACCAAGGCAACCAAGGTCTGGAGCAGACCCCCAGCAAACTGCAGCAGCCCTACGGTAGAGTGGCCTGACTATGAAAAGAAAAACAAACAGAAAACAACAACAACAAAAAGATCAACAAAAAGAATCCCACAAAACCCTATTGAAAGGCCAGCAACCTCAAAGATTGAAGGTAGATAAGCCCACAAAGATAAGCAAAGAATCAGTGCTGAAAACTCAAAAAGCCAGAGTGGCTCTTCTCCTCCAAATGACAGTAACACCTCTCCAGCAAGGGAACAGAACTGGGCTGAGGCTGAGATGACTGAACTGACAGAAGTAGACTTCAGAAGGTGGGTAATAACAAACTTCACTGAGTAAAAGGAGCATGTTGTAACCCAATGCAAAGAAGCTAAGAATCATGATAAAACAATACAGAAGCTGATAGCCAGAATAGCCAGTTTAGAGAGGAACATAACCAAGCTCATGGAGCTGAAAACACACAACACGAGAACCTCACAATGCAATCACAAGTATCAATAGCAGAATAGACCAAGTGGAGGAAAGAATTTCAGAGCTTAAAGACTATCTTTCTGAAATAAGACAGGCAGACAAGAATAGAGAAAAAAGAATGAAAAGGAATGAACAAAACCTCCAAGAAATATGGGATTCTATGAAGAGACCAAACCTCCAACTGATTGGGATACCTGAAAGGGACAGGGAGAATGGAACCAAGTTGGAAATCACACTTCAGGATATCATTCAAGAGAACTCACCCAACCTGGCAAGATAGGCCAATATTCAATTCAGGAAGTGCAGAGAACCCCAGTAGGATCCTCCATGAGAAGATCAACCCCCAGACACATAATCATCAGATTCTCCAGGTCGAAATGAAAAAAAAAAAGTGAAGGGCAGCCAGAAAGAAAGGCCAGGTCACCTACAACGGGAAGCCAATCAGACTAACTGAGGACCTCTCAATGGAAACCCTACAAGCCAGAAGAGATTGTGGGCCAATATTCTACAGTCTTAAAGAAAAGAATTTCCAACCCAAGATTTCATATCTGACCAAACTAAGGTTCATAAATGAAGGAGAAATAAGATCCTTTTCAGACAAGCAAAGGCTGAGAGAATTCATCACCACCAGGAAGCACTAAATATGGAAACGAAAAACTGTTACCAGCCACTACAAAAACACACTGAACTACACAGACCAGTGACACTATGAAGCAACTACATAAACAAGTCTGCAAAATAACCAGCTAGCATCATGATGACAGGATCAAATTCACATATAATAATACTAACCTTAAATATAAATGGGCTAGGCCAGGCACAGTGGCTCACACCTGTAATCCCAGCACTTTGGAAGCCTGAGGCAGGCAAATCACCTGAGGTCAAGAGTTCGAGACCAGCCTGGCCAACATGGTGAAACCCCATCTCTACTAAAAGATGGCAGGTGCCTGTAATCCCAGCTACTCGGGAGGCTGAGGCAGGAGAATCGCTTCACCCGGGAGGCAGAGGTTGCCGTGAGCTGGGACTGCACCATTGCACTCCAGCCTGGGTGACACAGAGTGAAATTCCATCTCAAAAAATATAAAATATATATATTTTTTTTTTGGGCTAAATGCCCCAATTAAAAGACACAGAATGGCAAGCTGGACAGAGCCAAGACCCACTGGTGTGCTGTCTTCAAGAGACCCATCTCACATGCAAGACATACACAGGTTCAAAATAAAAGGATGAAGGAAAATTTACCAAGCAAATGGAAAACAGAAAAAAGTAGGGGTTGCAATCCTAATTTCTGACAAAACAAGACTTTAAGCCAACAAAGATCAAAAAATATAAAGAAGGGCATTAATAATGGTAAAGAGTTCAATTCAACAAGAGCTAACTATCCTAAATATATATGCATCCAATATAGGAGCACCCAGATTCATAAAGCAAGTTCTTCAAGAATGACACACTTAGACTACTTAGACTCCCACACAATAATAGTGGGAGACTTTAACAACCCACTGACAATATTAGACAAATCAAGACAGAAAATTAATAAAGATAGTAAGGACCTGAACTCAGCCCTGGATCAAGTGGATCTGATAGATATCTACAGAATTCTCCACCACAAAACAGCAGAATATACATTCTCCTCATTGACATATGGCACTTACTCTAAAACTGATCACATAATTGGAAATAAAACACTCCTCAGCAAATGCAAAAGAGCTGAAATCATAACAGTCTCTCAGACCACAGCACCATCAAATTAGAACTCAAGATTAAGAAATTCACTCAAAACCACACAACTACATGGAAACTGAACAACCTGCTCCTGAATGACTCTTGGGTAAATAATGAAATTAAGGCAGAAATCAATAAGTACTTTGAAACTAATGAGAACAAAGAGACAATGTCCTAGAATCTCTGGGACACAGGTAAAGTGGTGTTAAGAGGGAAATTTAGAGCATTAAATGCCCACATCAAAAGCTAGAAAGATCTCAAGTTAACAACCTAACATCTCAACTAAAGAACTAGAGAACCAAGAGCAAACAAACTCCAAAGCTAGAAGACAAGAAATAACCAGGATGAGGGCATAATAAGTGAAGAAGACAGAGACACAAAAAACCCTTCAAAAAAATCAACAAATCCAGAAACTGGTTTTTTGAAAAAAATAATAAAA
This sequence comes from Homo sapiens, assembly GCF_000001405.40. Taxonomy (NCBI): domain Eukaryota; kingdom Metazoa; phylum Chordata; class Mammalia; order Primates; family Hominidae; genus Homo; species Homo sapiens. The sequence continues at coordinate 231,659,401 of NC_000001.11, read as the reverse complement.
TAGATCACTTGCTAGACTAACAAAGAGGAAAAGAGAGAAGAATCAAATAGATACAATAGAAAATGTTAAGGGAGATATCACCACTAACCCCACAGAAATACAAACAACCATCAGAAAATACTGTAAACACCTCTATGCACATAGACTAAAAAATCTAGAAGAAATGGATAAATTCCTAGACACATACACCCTCCCAAGACTGAACCAGGAAGAAATTGAATCTCTGAATAGACCAATAATGAGTTCTGAAATTGAGACAGTAATAAATAGCTTACCAACCAAAAAAAGCCCAGGAACAGACAGATTCACAGCTGAATTCTACCAGAGGTACAAAGAAAAAGGGGTATCATTTTGACTGAAATTATTCCAAAAAATTGAAAAGGAGGGACTCATCCCCAATTTATTCTATGAGGCCAGCATCATCCTGATACCAAAACCTGGCAGAGATACAACAAAAAAAAAGAAAACCTCAGGCCGATATCCTTAATGAACATCAATGCAAAAACCTTCAATAAAATACTGACAAACTGAATGCAGCAGCACATCAAAAAGCTTATCCACTAGAATCAAGTTGGCTTCATCTCCAGGATACAAAGTTGGTTCAACATATGCAAATCAATAAATGTGATTCATCACATAAACAGAACTAAAGACAAAAACCACATGATTATCTCAATATATGCAGAAAAGGCCTTCGATAAAATCTGGCATCCCTTCATGTTAAAAATTCTCAATAAACTAGGTATTGAAGGAACATACCTCAAAATAATAAGAGCCATATATGACAAACCCACAGCCAATATCATACTGACTGGGCAAAAGCTGGAAGCATTCCCCTTGAAAAACAGCCCAAAACAAGATGTCCTCTCTCGCCACTCCTATTCAACATAGTATTGGAAGTTCTGGCCAGGGCAATCAGATAAGAGAACAAAATAAAGGGTGTTCAAATAGGAAGAGAGGAAGTCAAATTATCTTTGTTTGCAGATGACATGATCCTATATCTAGAAAACCCCATCATCTCAGCCCAAAAGCTTTTTAAGCTGATAAGCAACTTCAGCAGTCTCAGGATACAAAATCAATGTGCAAAAATTGCTAGCATTCCTACACACCAACAACAGGCAATCAAAGAGCCAAATCATAAATGAACTCCCATTCACAATTACTACAAAAAGAATAAAATAACTAGGAATACAGCTAACAAGGGAAGTGAAGGACCTCTTCAAGGAGAACTACAAACCATTGCTCAAAGAAATCGTACAGGACACAAACAAATGGAGAAACATTCCATGCTCATGAACAGGAAGAATCAATATCATGAAAATAGCCATACTGCCCAAAGCAATTTATAGATTCAATGCTATTCCCATTAAACTACCATTGACATTCTTCACAGAATTAGAAAAAACTATTTTAAAATTCATGTGGAACCAACAAATCCCAAATGGCCAAGACAATCATAATCAAAAAGAACAAAGCTGGAGGCATCATGGCTACCCAACTTCAAACTATACTGCAAGGCTACAGTAACCAAAACAGCAGGGTATTGGTACAGGAACAGACACATAGACCAATGGAACAGAATACAGAACTCAGAAATAAGACCCAACACCTACAACCATCTGATCTTCAACAAACTAGACAAAAACAAGCAATGGGGAAAGGACTCCATATTTAATAAATGGTGCTGAGAGAGCTGGCTAGCCATATGCAGAAAATTGAAACTGGACCCATCCCTTACACCTTAAGCAAAAATCAATTCAAGATGGATTAAAGACTTAAGTGTAAAACCCAAAACTATAAAAATGCTGCAAGACAACCAAGGCAATACCATTCAGGACATAGGCATGGACAAAGATTTCATGATGAAAACACCAAAGCAACTGCAACAAAAGCAAAAACCTACAAATGGTATCTAATTAAACTAAAGAGCTTCTGCACAGCAAAAGAAACTATCATCAGACACTTTTCAAAAGAAGACATACATCCAGCCAACAAACATGACAAAACGCTCAACATAACTGATCATTAGAGAAATGCAAATAAAAACCACAATAAGATACGATCTAACACCAGTCAGAATGGCTGTTACTAAGATGTCAAAAAACAACAGATGCTGGTGAGGTTGTGGAGAAAAAGAAATGCTTTTACATTGTTGGTGGGAGTGTAAATTAGTTCAACCATTGTGGAAGACAGTGTAGTGATTCCTCAAAGACCTAGAGGCGTACCATTTGACTCATCAATCCCATTACGGGGTATACACCCCAAAAAATATAAATCATTGTGTTATAAAGATACATGCATGTGTATGTTCATTGCAGCATTTTTCACAATACCAAAGATATAAAATCAATCTAAATGCCCATCAATGATGGACTGGATAAATAAATGTGGTGCATATACACTATGGAATACTATGCAGCCATAAAAAGGAACAAGATCATGTCCTTTGCAGGGATATGGATGGAGTCGGAGTTGGAAGCCATTATCCTCCAGAAACTAACACAGGAACAGAAAACCAAAGAATGCATGCTCTCATCTATAAGTGGGAACTAAATGATGAAAATACATGGACACATAGAGGGGAACAGCACACACTGGGAACTATCAGTGGGCAGTGGGTGGGAGGGAGAGCATCAGGAAGAATAGCTAATTGATGCTGGGCTTAATACCTAGTTGATAGGATGATCTGTGCAGCAAACCACCATGGCACACGTTTACTTGTGTAACAAACCTGCACATCCTCCACATGTACCCATGAACTTAAAATAAAAGTTGAAGAAAAGAAAAAGAAAGAACGAACAATCCTAAAATTCATATAGAACCAAAAAAAGAGCACAGACAGCCAAAGTAATCCTGAGCAAAAAGAACAAATCTGGATGCATCACAATAACTGACTCCAAATTATACTGCAAGGCTATTGTAATCAGAATAGCATGGTATTGGTATAAAAGTAGATACATAGACAAATAGAATAGAATAGAGAACCCAGAAATAAAGCCAAATAGTTACAACCAACTGATCGTCAACAAAGCATATACAAACATAAATTGAAGAAAGGACATGCTATTCAATAAATGGTGCTGGGAAAACTAAATAGCAACATGTAGAAGAATGAAACTGGATCTCTATCTCTCACTATACACAAAAATCAACTCAAGATGGATTACAGACTTAAATCTAAGACTTGAAACCATAAAAATTCTAGAACAAAACCTAGGAAAAATTATTTTGGATAGTAGCCTAGGCAAAGAATTTATAACTAAGACCCCAAAAACAACCAACACAAAGATAAATAAATAAGACTTAAACTAAAATGCTCCACACAGCAAAAGAAATAATCATTAGAGTAAACACACAACTCACAGAATGGGAGAAAATATTTGCAAACTATGCATCCGACAACAGACTAATACCCAGAATCTACAAAGAACTCAAACAAATCAGCAAGGGGAAAAAATCCCTTTAAAAAGTGGGCAAATGACATGAATATACATTTCTCAAAATAACATATACAAATGGCCAAGAAACATACGAAAAACTGCTCACCATCACTAATCATCAGGGAATGCAAATTAAAACCACAATGAGAAACCACCTTATCCCAAACAGAATGGCCCTTTATTAAAAAGTCAAAAAACAAGAGATGTTGGCATGGATATGGTGAAAAGGAAAAGCTTATATACTTCTGGTGGTAACATAAATCAGTATAACCTCTATGGAAAACAGTATGGAGATTTCTCAAAGAACTAAAAGTAGATCTACCATTCAATCCAGCAATCCCACTACTGGACTAGGTACCCAAAGGAAAAGAAGTCATTACATCAAAAAGACACCTGCATGCATATGATTATCACAGCACAATTCACAATTGCAAAGCTATGGAACCAACCTAAGTGCCCATCAATCAATGAGTGGATGAAGAAAATGTGGTATATATACACCATGGAATACTAGTTAGCCATAAAAAAGAATGAAATAATGTATTTTACAGCAACTCAGATGGAACTGAATGCCATTATTCTAAGTGAACTAACTCAGGAGTGGAAAACCAAACACTGTACTTTCTCATTGGTAAATGGGAGCTAAGCTATGGATACACAAAGGCACACAAAGTGATATAATGGACTTTAGAGACTCAGAATAGGGGAGTGTGGGAGGGGCGACTTTAAAAGTTACATATTGGGCACAATGTACGCAACTTGGGTACACTAAAATTTCAGACTTCAGGACTATACCATTCATCCATGTAAGCAAAAACCACTTGTACTCCTAAAGCTATTAAAATACTTTTTTAAAAAAAGAATTTGTTGGTTTGCAAGCATAAAATGAAAGGGAATAGAGTCCAGATGTTTGTCCAGAAACTTCTGAGTGTAAAGCCTTGGAAGAAATGACTGCTTCTAAAGTCTGAGGAGTAAGAAACAAGATTGAAAAGGCTTTTGAGTGACACAGGTAAAAGATTCAGCCTTGTAGCAAAGAGCTAATTAAGAATTTTGCCTTCCCATCTGACCCTGAAGGCCTCAAGGAAGTCACCATCTCATTGACAGAAAAGGGTATTAGGGTGAGAAAGTAATATAATAATTCAAGCTTGGTAATAATATCTAGGAAAAAAACTTAGGGATTTGCTATTGGCATAAAAAACTTAAGGGAAGAAAACAGAACAGAAACAAGTAATCCAAGCACAGAAAGAAAAATACTGCATGATCTCAGTTACAGGTGTAATCTAAAAAAAGTCGGAAGTAGAGAATAGAATGGTGGTTAGCAGGGGCTGGGGCAAGGGTAGAAGTGGATGGGAAGATGTTAGTCAAAGTATACAAAGCTTCAGTTAGACAGAAGGAATAAGTTCTTAAGATTTATTCCACAGCATGGTGACTATAGTTAATAATAATGCAATATATTTCAAAATTGCTAAGAATTTCATACCACACACACACAAAAATTTCATACCACACACACACGTGAAATGATGGATATGTTAATTAGCTTGGTTTAATCATTTCATAGTGAATAAATATATGAAAGCTTCACATTGTACCCCATAAATATGTAAATTATTTGTCAAAAATAAAAGTAATTAATTTAAAAAAAAAACAGAATCCTATCAAATTTTTGACATAAATGTATGGCCAAAGAAACCATGAGCCTGGACTAAAAATAAAATTTTTTAAAGACGTTTGTCTATTTGAGCCTTGAAACAACAGCAGGGCACTAGAGGGCTGCAAAGCTGTGTACCCTCCTAAGATGGCGGACTCCCCTGCAATCACTTCAAACGTAGCCATTGAGAATAAAGTGCAAGAAGGAACTTGCCAGGACAGAGCTCGGACCATGGAGACCAACTGAGAAGAGATTGCCTTTTCTGGCAAAATCAAGGTCTAATCAAGAAAGTTCTCCCACCCTCTGGTTGAGAACCTCCACCTTGCCCACCCAACTGGATTCCATTGTTGCTTTGGGCCTGTGATGACTGTGCTGCCCGCTCTTTACTCTGTTCTAAATGGGAGCTTCTAATGTTACAATGCTTCCCTGCTTCATTGAAAATTGGGAGGCGCTAGGGAGGAGGCAAATAACTTTATTCTCTTCTAGTTCATAAGTCATCAAACCACAAGGATCCTCATTTAGATGTGATGGGGAAGACAGCACATCACCCAGAGATCCTGAACAGTGACTAAGCAAGGTGCCAGGGCTGGATGGGACTTAGGGTCCCTCACTCTGGGAGGGGTGTGTTCTGTGTGTGAGGGGAAAAGCAAAACAGGAATTTGGTAAACAGTAGGGGAAGCTCTGTTAGAGACTAGCTAGTATTCACCAAATGTATTTCCTTTCCTCCCACACACACAGATGAGTGGCATTTCCCAGCCTCCCTTGCAGTTTTGTATGGCCATGTGACATTCTGGCCAATGGAATGGGGGCAGAAGCAGTATCTGCCACTTCCAGTTCTGATCCATTAAAACCTCCTGTGACATCTTCTTCACTTTCTCTTCCACTATCAGCCAGCTAAGCAGCAAGGGCCAGGGCAACCTTGCAAACCACACGCTGGAGAGGGCCTGAGTCCCTGCATGGCCATGCAAGGCACAGCAGCCCCTCCACGCAAGCCTGGTACCTCAAGGTAACCATCAGCAAATGGAGAGAACCTAAACTTTACATAAGGAGAAATAAACTTCTGAGGTGTTAAGCCACTGAGATTTCAGAATATATGCTTTAGAACTAGCATCACCTTAAATACAAAAACTTAATACTGGCATGTTCTAAAGGTCAACAACTATGAACATTCCAATTTAATGTAACTGGATGAGTAAATTATGGTGTCAGCATGGAATACTGTGTAACCATTAGGCCGGGCACAGTGGCTCACACCTGTAATCCCTCCCTTTGGGAGGCCAAGGCGGGCAGATCACCGGATGTCAGGAGTTCAAGACCAGCCTGGCCAACATGGTGAAACCCCGTCTCTATTAAAAATACAAAAATTAGCCAGGTGTGGTGGCAGGCACCTGTAATCCTAGCTACTCAGGAGGCTGAGACAGAACAATCGCTTGAACCAGGTAGGTGGAGGTTGCAGTGAGCCAAAATCGTGCCACTGCACTCCAGCCTGGGCGACAGAGCGAGCCTCCATCTCAGAAAAAAAAGAAGAAAGAAATAACAGTGTAAAGTCATACTGGTTGACATGAAAACATATCTGTGCTATACTACTAAGTGGGAAAAAATTAGGTTGGAAAACAAGATGCAACATAATCCCATTTCGGTAAAGTTGTATGGCTCTGTGAACCTTCTAGAAGGATGTTCCCTAAATCATTAACAGTGAGGAATATGTGACTTCAGTGATCATTTCATCTTCTCCCATACATTTTTCAGGCTTGTTTGACTTTTTACAATGCCTATGTTTTTAAATATAAAAACAACAAGCTATGTTTGAGCAGTAAATGTGTTATTTTTCCTCCAGTTGACCCTGTAATGTCCATTTCCTTTAAGAAAGTTTTCCCATCAGTATTGAATATTCAATATTGAGTATCCTGAAAGCATTACTTCAAGCAAGTTGGAAAACCTATGGGTAAGAAAATAACATGATAATAACGATAATAACACAATAATAACAATATAACATGATAGTAACAATCTTATCTAGGCTCAGAGCACATGTGCACATTTCACAGTTATTCTCATTCATGTATAAGAAGTGACATGATGCATTCTGTTCCAAGATGGCCAAATAGGAACAGCTCTGGTCTGCAGCTCCCAGCATGATCGATGCAGAAGATGGTGATTTCTGCATTTCCAACTGAGGTACCTGTTTATCTCATTGGGACTGGTTGGAGAGTGGGTGCAGCCCACACAGGGTGAGCCGAAGCAGGGCGGGGCATTATCTCACCCAGGAAGCACAAGGGGTCAGGGGATTTCCCTTTCCTAGCCAAGGCAAGCTGTGACAGACTGTACCTGGAAAATTAGGACACTCTCACCCAAATACTGCGTTTTTCCAATGGTCTTAGCAAACAGCACACCAAGAGATTACATCCTGTGCCTGGCTCAGCAGGTCCCACACCCATGGAGCCTTGCTCACTGCTAGCTCAGCAGTCTGAGATCGACCTGCGAGGCAACAGCCTGGCAGAGGGAGGGGCATCTGCCATTGCTGAGGCTTGAGTAGGTAAACAAAGCGGCTGGAGAAGCTTGAACTGGGCGGAGCCCACCGCAGCTCTCCAAGGCCTGCTGCCTCTGTAGACCCCAGCTCTAGGGGCAGGGCATAGCTGAACAAAAGGCAGCAGAAACTTCTGCAGACTTAAACGTCCCTATCTGACAGCTCTGAAGAGAGCAGTGGTTCTCCCAGCATGGTGTTTGAGCTATGAGAACAGACAGACTGCCTCCTCAAGTGGCTCCCTGACCCCTGTGTAGCCTAACTGAGAGACACCTCCAAGTAGGGGCCGACTGACACCTCATACAGGCGGGCACCTCTCTGGGACAACGCCTCCAGAGGAAGGATCAGGCAGCAATATTTACTGTTCTGCAATATTTGCTGTTCTGCAGCCTCCACTGGTGATACCCAGGCAAACAGGGTCTGGAGTGGACCTCCAGCAAACTCCAACAGACCTGCAGCTGAGAGACCTGATTGTTAGAAGGAAAACTAACAAACAGAAAGGAATAGCATCAACATCAACAAAAAGGACATCCACACCAAAACCCCATCTGTAGGTCACCATCTTCAAAGACCAAAGGTAGATAAAACCACAAAGATGGGGAGAAACCAGAGCAGAAAAGCTGAAAATCCTAAAAACCAGAGCACCTCTTCTCCTCCAAAGGATCACAGCTCCTCGCCAGCAACAGAACAAAGCTGGACAGAGAATGACTTTGACGAGCTGACACAAGTAGACTTCAGAAGGTCAGTAATAACAAACTTCTCCGAGCTAAAGGAGGACATTTGAACCCATTGCTAGGAAGCTAAAACCCTTGAAAAAAAATTAGACAAATGGCTAACTAGAATAAACAGTGTAGAGAAGACCATAAATGAACTGATGAAGCTGAAAACCATGGCACAAGAACTACATGACGCATGCACAAGCTTCAATAGCTGATTTGACCAAGTGGAAGAAAGGGTATCAGCGACTGAAGATCAAATTAATGAAATAAGGCGAGAAGAGAAGTTTAGAGAAAAAAGAGTAAAAAGAAACAAATAAAGCCTCCAAGAAATATGAGACTATGTGAAAAGACCAAATCTACGTTTGACTGGTGTACCTGAAAGTGACGGGGAGAATGGAACCAAGTTGGAAAACACTCTGCAGGATACTATCCAGGAGAACTTCCCCAACCTAGCAAGGCAGGCCAACATTCAAATTCAGGAAATACAGAGAACACCACAAAGATACTCCTCAAGAAGAGCAACCCCAAGACATATAATTGTCAGATTCACCAAGGTTGAAATGAAGGAAAAAATGTTAAGTGCAGCCAGAGAGAAAGGTCGGGTTACCCACAAAGGGAAGTCTGATGACTAACAGTGGATATCTCAGCAGAAACTCTACAAGCCAGAAGAGAGTGGGGGCCAATATTCAATATTCTTAAAGAAATGAATTTTCAGCCCAGAATTTCATATCCAGCCAAACTAAGCTTCATAAGTGAAGGAGAAATAGAATCCTTTACAGACAAGCAAATGCTCAGAGATTTTGTTACCACTAGGTCTGCCTTACAAGAGCTCCTGAAGGAAGCACTAAACATGGAAAGGAACAACGGGTACCAGCCACTGCAAAAACATGCCAAACTGTAAAGACCATCAATGCTAGGAAGAAACTGCATCAACTAACAGGTAAAATAACCAGCTAACATCATAATGATGGGATCAAATTCACACATAACAATATTAACCTTAAATCTAAATAGGCTAAATGCCCCAATTAAAAGACACAGACTGGCAAATTGGACAAAGAGTCAAGACCCATCAGTGTGCTGTATTCAGGAGACCAATCTCACGTGCAGAGACACACATAGGCTCAAAATAAAGGGATGGAGGAAGATCTACCAAGCAAATGGAAAGCAAAAAAGAAAAAAGCAGGGGTTGCAATCCTGGTCTCTGATAAAACAGACTTTAAACCAGCAAAGATCAAAAGAGACAAAGAAGGCCATTACATAATGGCAAAGGGATCAATTCAACAAGAAGAGCTAACTATCCTAAATATATATGCACCCAACACAGGAGCACCCAGATTCATAAAGCAAGTCTTTAGAGATCTGCAAAGAGACTTAGACTCCCACACAATAATAATGGGAGACTTTTAACACCCCGCTGTCAATATTAGACAGATCAACAAGACAGAAGGTTAAAAGGATATCCAGGACTTCAACTCAGCTCTGCACCAAGCAGACCTAATAGACATCTACAGAACTCTCCACCCCAAATCAACAGAATATACATTCTTCTCAGCACCACATTGCACTTATTCCAAAACTGACCACATAATTGGAAGTAAAGCACTCCTCAGAAAATGTAAAAGAACAGAAATCATAACAAACTGTCTCTCAGACCACAGTGCAATCAAACTAGAACTCAGGATTAAGAAACTCACTCAAAACCGCACAACTACATGGAAACTGAACAACCTGCTCCTGAATGACTACTGGGTAAATAACAAAATGAAGGCAGAAATAAAGGTGTTCTTCGAAACTAATGCGAACAAAGACACAACATACCAGAATCTCTGGGACACATTTAAAGCAGTGTGTAGAGGGAAATTTACAGCACTAAATGTCCATAAGAGAAAGCAGGAAAGATCTAAAATTGACATCCTAACATCACAATTAAAAGAACTAGAGAAGCAAGAGCAAACACATTCAAAAGCTAGTAGAAGGCAAGAAATAACTAAGATCAGAGCAGAACTGAAGGAGATAGAGACAAAAAACCCTTCAAAAAATCAATGAATCCAAGAGCTGGTTTTTTGAAAAGATCAACAAAATTGATAGACCGCTAGCAAGACTAATAAAGAAGAAAAGAGAGAAGAATAAAACAGACGCAATAAAAAATGATAAAGGGGATATCACCACTGATCCCACAGAAATACAAACTACTATCAGAGAATGCTATAAATACCTCTACACAAATAAACTAGAAAAATCGAGGAGAAATGGATAAATTCCTGGACACATACACCCTCCCAAGACTAAACCAGGAAGAAGTTGAATCTCTGAATAGACCAATAACAGGATCTGAAATTGAGGCAATAATTAATAGCCTACCAACCAAAAAAAGTCCAGGACCAGATGGGTTCACAGCCGAATTCTACCAGAAGTACAAAGAGGAGCTGGTACCATTCCTTCTGAAACTATTCCAATCAATAGAAAAAGAGGGAATCCTCCCTAACTCATTTTATGAGGCCAGCATCATCCTGATACCAAAGCCTGGCAGAGACACAACAAAAAAGAGAATTTTAGACCAATATCCCTGATGAACGTCGATGCAAAAATCCTGAATAAAATACCGGCAAACCGAATCCAGCAGCACATCAAAAAGCTTATCCACCATGATCAGGTCAGCTTCATCCCTGGGATGCAAGGCTGGTTCAACATATGCAAGTCAATAAACGTAATCCATCACATAAACAGAACCAATGAAAAAAAACACATGATTATCTCAACAGATGCAGAAAAGGCCTTCAACAAAATTCAACAGCACTTCATGCTAAAAACTCAATAAACTAGGTATTGATGGAATGTATCTCAAAATAATAAGAGCTATTTATGACAAACCCATAGCCAATATCACACTGAATGAGCAAAAACTGGAAGCATTACCTTTGAAAACTGGCATAAGACAGGGATGCCCTCTCTCAGCACTCCTATTCAACATAGTGTTGGAAGTTCTGGCCAGGGCCATCAGACAAGAGAAAGAAATAAAGAGTATTCCATTAGGAAAAGAGGAAGTTAAATTGTCCCTGTTGGCAGATGATATGATTGTATATTTAGAAAACCCCATCATCTCAGCCCAAAATCTCCTTAAGCAGATAAGCAACTTCAGTAATGTCTCAGGATACAAAATCAATGTGCAAAAATCACAGGCATTCCTATACACCAATAACAGACAAACAGAGACCCAAATCATGAGCAAACTCCCATTCACAATTGCTACAAAGAGAATAAAACACCGAGGAATCCAACTTACAAGGGATGTAAAGAACCTCTTCAAGGAGAACTACAAACTACTGCTCAACGAAATAAAAGAGGACACAAACAAATGGAAGAACATTCCATGCTCATGGATAGGAAGAATCAATATCGTGAAAATGGCCATACTGCCCAAGGTAATTTATAGATTCAATGCCATCCCCATCAAGCTACCAATGACTTTCTTCACAGAATTGGAAAAAACTACTTTAAAGTTCATATGGAACCAAAAAAGAGCCTGCATTGCCAAAACAATCCTAAGCAAGAAGAACAAAGCTGGAGGCAACACACTACTTCAAACTATACTACAAGGCTACAGTAACCAAAACAGCATGGTGCTGGTACCAAAACAGAGAGATAGACCAATGGAACAGAACAGAGCCCTCAGAAATAACACCACACATCTACAACCATCTGATCTTTGACAAAGCTGACAAAAACAAGAAATGGGGAAAGGATTCCCTATTTAATAAATGGTGCTGAGAAAACTGGCTAGCCATATGTAGAAAGCTGAAACTGGATCCCCTCCTTACACCTTATACAAAAATTAATTCAAGATGAATTAAAGACTTAAATGTTAGACCTAAAACCATAAAAACCCTAGAAGAAAACCTAGGCAATACCTTTCAGGACATAGGCATGGGCAAGGACTTAATAACTGAAACACCAAAAGCAATGGCAACACAAGCCAAAATAGACAAATGGGATCTAATTAAACTAAAGAGCTTCTGCACAGCAACAGAAACTACCATCAGAGTGAACAGGCAACCTATAGAATGGGAGAAAATTTTTGCAATCTACCCATCTGACAAAGGGCTAATATCCAGAATCTACAAAGAACTTAAACAAATGTACAAGAAAAAACAAATAAACAAGCCCATCAAAAAGTGGGCAAAGGATATGAACAGAAACTTCTCAAAAGAAGACATTTATGCAGCCAACAGACACATGAAAAAATGCTCATCATCACTGGTCATCAGAGAAATGCAAATCAAAACCACAATGAGATACCATATCACATCAGTTAGAATGGTGATCATTAAAAAGTCAGGAAACAACAGATGCTGGAGAGGATATGGAGAAACAGGAATGCTTTTACACTGTTGGTGGGAGTGTAAACTAGTTCAACCATTGTGGAAGACAGTGCGGCGATTCATCAAGGATCTAGAACTAGAAATACCATTTGGCCCAGTGATCCCATTTGACCCAGCGATCTAAATTGCCCCAAAAATTTAGAATTGGGGCAATAGCAAAATTGCTATTTATATACCCAAAGGATTATAAATCATGCTACTAGAAAGACACATGCACGCTTATGTTTATATGCAGCACTATTCACAATAGCAAAAACTTGGAACCAACCCAAATGTCCGTCAATGATAGACTGGATTAAGAAAATGTGGCACATATACACCATGGAATACTATGCAGCCATAAAAAAGGATGAGTTCATGTCCTTTGTAGGGACATGGATGAAGCTGGAAACCATCATTCTCAGCAAACTATCGCAAGGACAAAAAATCAAACACCGCATGTTCTCACTCATAGGTGGGAATTGAACAATGAGAACACATGGACACAGGAAGGGGAGCATCACACACCAGGGACTGTTGTGGCATGGGGGGAGTGGGGAGGGATAGCATTAGGAGATATACCTAATGCTAAATGACGAGTTAATCAAAATAATAAATGATAACACTGTTATTGTAAAAAAAAAAAAAGAAAAGTACATATTCTGCTATTGTTGGATAGACTGTTCTGTAGATGTGTGTTAGGTCTAGTTAATTGTGTTGCTCAAATCTTCTATTTCCTTGTTTTTCTTCTCTGTAGTTCTAGAAATTGTTGAAAGTGAGTATTGTTATCTCTAAAAAAAAAAAAAGAAAAGAAAATGTGGCACATATACACCATGGAATACTACGCAGCCATAAAAAAGGATGAGTTCATGTCCTTTGCAAGGACATGGATGAAGCTGGAAACCATCATTCTCAGCAAACTATCGCAAGGACAGAAAACCGAACAGTGCATGTTCTCACTCATAGGTGGGAATTGAGCAATGAGAACACTTGGACACAGGACAGGGAACATCGCACACTGGGGCCTGTCGTGGGGTGCGGGGAGGGATAGCATTAGGAGAAATACCTAATGTAAATGACAAGTTAGTGGGTGCAGCAAACCAACATAGCACATGTATACCTATGTAACAAACCTGCATGTTGTGCACATGTACCCCAGACCTTAAAGTATAATAAATTTTTTAAAAGACAAAAAAAAAAAAGAAGTGACATGACATAAACTGCCTGGTCTCTGCCCTCCTAACCCTGGGACATCAGGCAGACCTTGAAAGCTGGATATTATCATTTGGGAGGCGAGGAGAGGGCAGTGCAATGAAGGTCCCTGCTCTAAAGGCCCTGGTTTGACTTGTACAAGGAAGCAGTAAGGTGCAGAAAGGAGCTTCAGTGGGAGCTATGGCCAGGCTTTGAAATCTTTCCCACACCAGCATGATGACCGGTGTGTCTACCACTGAGCTCCCTGCCTTCCAGTTAGCCAGGGTGAAAGAACAACCAATCCTCTTCTGACACAGATCTCTCTGTTATTAGGATCACAGAAAAGGTGGCCATGGTGACGATCCTGCCTTTGGGGTTTAGGTCATAGATGACTATACCTATGCTTAAATAGTTATCATAAAAATAGAGTTTTGAGCAGAAATGTGGATCCAGAAAATAGATTTTTAGAAAAATTAAACTACCAATAATGTCCACAGTGAACAGAAAGAGGCTGGTGGCTGAAAATCTATTTAAAGGCTACTGCGACAATCCTGCATGCATGATGAGGATGGAAAGAGAAAGGAAGAATTCAGTCACAGGATCCTAGGGCACAAACCCAGGCCCTAAGCACCCAACAGATTCAGAGAGTCCACGTGCTAAATGCAGGGAAACTAAGACCACTTCAAGTATCTCAAGCAGAAGAAATTTAATATAGGGAATTTGTTACAAAGATATAGAAAGAACTAGAAGAGAACAAAGGAGAAGGAGAGGACAGAAGTGAAAAGGAAAAGGGGGTCATAGCTAGACACCCATCATTAATGCTCCTAAACGATGTCCCTCAGCCTTCTCAATCTGCTGTACTGTTGAGGAGGTTGTGCCATTTGGCTCTGAAGCCACCAAGGAAGTGCTACATCAACTAAGATTGGAGCCCCAATAAGGGGGTTACCTGCAGGGTTGCTGATGTTCCAACTCACCCCTTCCTTACTATCACTACAGCAACTGCTTGCAATGGCCTCACAGTAAAACCCAGAATCAGGAAGTTTTTCTCTCCGTCTTACTGGTCTCCCACCAGTGCCTCCTATTAACAGAATTTAACAGCAAATGAGCTGGCGAGAAAGCCTGGGATATGTAGCTTTCCGGCTGCTAGCCCTAGCAGTAAAGAGCAAAGCACAGGAAGGTAAGTGAAAGGCCAGCCTACACTCTTACCCATTGTTAACAAATGTCCATTCTGAAGGATATGTACAGGGCAGTGGTGAGCAAGCAAGGTGATGGGCAGGGTGGGGGTTATAGTCCTTGCCTTCAAGGAAAATCCTAGTGAAAATGTAGAATTTGGGCAATAGCAAAATTGCTCCTCTGACTCTATGGCAATCAGATCATTGAAATTAAACAGAAATGACCAAGTTGGAGCCAGATAAAGCATGCCATGTGCCCTCTCCAGAATTCTCTGTCTGCTACACTAAAAATAACATCTTTCTCTTGTTGACAGAATTGCAGCTAGCACATATGGTACCATTGTGCAAATTTTTAAAAGGTATCTTCTGTGGGCTGGTAAAATATAAAAAGATGTCCTCTTAGGGAGGGTAAATTAGAAAAAGGTGGCACCTCTGAGCTGATGAATTAGAAAAAGGCTCGCCATCCTCAGCACCAGGGCTCCATTCACCCCTCGGCCAGTACCATTGTGTGGGACGTCACCTGCACAGCGGCAGGCTGCAGGCCACCTGTAATATGCTACCGTTTGCTAAGCCCTTTTATCTCTCATCTTACATGATCCTCACAATAGGCCCACAAAATAAGCATTATTACTTCCTATCTTACAGACGAAGAGAATTAAATAGCTTATTCCCAGTCATATGCTTAATAAGTGACACAAGAGCTGGCAGAGATGTGAAATCTAATAATAGCTCCTCAATAATAATATTGAGCGCCTACAGTGAGGCAGAAACTGTATGTACTTGAAACTCTACACATCTGACCGCAGTCAATTCTCTTAACAGTATGAGGTAGCTAGTATTCTCTGTATTTCACTGGCCAATTTTTGACTGCTAGGAGAACAAGGACATCAGCGTCCCGGGGAAGGCCCCCACACCGTGTATACAGTGTGTGTGCCCAGTCCCCAAGCCACCATGAATGGCATTCTTTCATTTATTTTATTTTATTTTTTTTTACTAGTTATTGCCTCACTCAAAGGAGGCCTAAACACAGTGAGATCTGAAGGGACAAGGAAACTGAATAGGAATATCTGAAGCTGGGATTTCCTGTGGGTTTTTCTATGAGTGAAACAAAAAGCTCCTTTGACTCTGGCTCTTTCGGGGTTCCAGGGAACAAGATGGCATTATCTCTGCACTGAAGGGCCTTTGACTCCCACACTCACTGCAGACAATGCTAAAAGAACACCCAAAGAATTAGCGAAATGGCCTGCCAAGTCCCCAACTTTACAGAAGCTCTCCCTTGGTGGAAATAGCTCACAAGTGACAGCTCTGAAAATTTACAGAGCCGGCAAGGTTTGGTGGGAAGGCAGTAGACCAAGTCCTCATCTTCTGCTGTTCCAGTGCATGCTCAGGTTGAGTACATTTTCATAACGGTTTTATTAAATAGATTTTCACTGTGACTATTTCCTCCCTGGAGCTAAAACACCTGAGAAGCCAAGGAAGAAGGAAAACTGTGTTTACAGAGAAAGGCAATGACAGACGCTCTGCTGAGCTGAACTTCTTTCAAGGTTAGAATGCCCTCTTTGGGTATGAAATTATACCAGCAAGAGCAGGGAATTTTCTGAGCCAGAAGAGATTCAGAAACACCAAAATCCACACAATGTCCTAATGGAGAATTGTATAGAGCTTACATTTCATACAGATGAAAATGTTATATAGGTAAAACCAAAATTCAATTGCACAGTGAAAAAAAAAAGATTTACTGGGCCTAGAACTGTAACTCCTGTAACAGAGCCTACCTATATGTGTTGTTACACAGCCTTCACTGTCCATGATACATTTGGTATCAATCATCCACACTGAATCATCTCATCGCCAGCAGCACTAGAGATACTCACGAGAGGTGACAGCGTGCTGGCAGTCCTCGCAGCCCGCGCTCGCTCTCGGCACCTCCTCTGCCTGGGCTCCCACTTTGGCGGCACTTGAGGAGCCCTTCCGCCCGCCGCTGCACTGTGGGAGCCCCTTTCTGGGTTGGCCAAGGCCGGAGCCGGCTCCCTCAGCTTGCAGGCAGGTGTGGAGGGAGAGGCGCGGGCGGGAACCGGGGGCTGCGCGCGGTGCTTGCGGGCCAGCGCGAGTTCCGGGTGAGCATGGGCTCCGCGGGTCCGCACTCGGAGTGGCCGGCCGGCCCCGCCGGCCCCGGGCAGTGAAGGGCTTAGCACCTGGGCCAGCAGCTGCTGTGTTCAATTTCTCGCAAGGCCTTGGCTGCCTTCCCGCGGGGCAGGGCTGGGGACCTGCAGCCCGCCATGCCTGAGCCTCCCCGCCCTTCGTGGGCTCCTGTGCAGCCCGAGCCTCCCCGACAAGCGCCGCCCCCTGCTCCACAGCGCCCAGTCCCATCGACCACCCAAGGCCTGAGGAGTGCAGGCACACGGCAGGGGACTGGCAGGCAGCTCCACCTGTAGCCCCGGTGCGGGATCCACTGGGTGAAGCCAGCTGGGCTCCTGAGTCTGGTGGGGCCTTGGAGAACCTTTATGTCTAGCTCAGGGATTGTAAAAACACCAGTCAGCACCCTGTGTCTAACTCAGGGTTTGTGAATGCACCAATGGACACTCTGTATCTAGCTAATCTGGTGGGGAGGTGGCGAACATTTGTGTCTAGCTCAGGGATTGTAAACGTACCAATCAGCGCCCTGTCAAAACAGACGACTGGGCTGTACCAATCAGCAGGATGTGGGTGGGGCCAGATAAGAGAATAAAAGCAGGCTGCAGGCGCCAGCAGCGGCAACCCTCTCCGGTCCCTTTGCACATTGTGGAAGCTTTGTTCTTTCGCTGTTTGCAACAAACCTTGCTGCTGCTCACTCTTTGGGTCCACACTGCCTTTATGAGCTGTAACAGTCACCACGAAGGTCTGCAGCTTCACTCCTGAAGCCAACGAGACCACGAACCTACAAGGAGGAACGAACGACTCCAGACGCGCCGCCTTAAGAGCTGTAACACTCACCGCGAAGGTCCGCAGCTTCACTCTTGAGCCAGCGAGACCACGAACCCACTAGAAAGAAGAAACTCCGAACACATCCGAACATCAGAAGGAACAAACTCCAGACACGCCGCCTTTAAGAACTGTAACACTCACCGCGAGGGTCCGCGGCTTCATTTTTGAAGTCAGTGAGACCAAGAACCCACCAATTCCGGACACACTCAGAGCCCAAGATAGCATCCTACCCAGCACAAGAATAGCTCACCTTGATTGTCATTGCTGGTTGGTATTTAATGGGGAACCTTGACAGTTCCAACCCTTTTCCTTCAGGCCTATCAGTGAAAGCAGTTGTCCAGTTCATCTTGTAAGACCAGCAGGGTCTCCAGAGCATGGACAGACTACAGGGTAGGTTATCATTTGTCCTAAGGCTGGAAAATGTGGCATCACAGGATTCATCCAAAAGGCAGCATTGGGAGAGTCTATACTAGTCAGCACTCCAAAGAGTGTAAGTCAACCAGGAGAATCCAGGGGTCAGACCAAGGATCAAAAACCAGGGAGGGGCACAGCGTGGTGGCTCATGCCTATAATCCCAGCCCTTTGGGAGACAGAGGCAGGAGGTTTTCTTGAGCCCAGCAGTTTGAGACCAGCCCGGGTAACATAGGGAGATCCTGTCTCTACAAAAAATAAATAAAAATAAAAATAGCCAGGCATTGTGACACACTCCTATAGTCCCAGCTACTTGCAGAGCAGAGATGGGAGGATCATTTGAGCCCAGCAAGTAGAGGCTGCAGTGAGCTGTGATCATGCCACTGCACTCCAGCATGGGCAACAGAGGGAGACCTTGTCTCAAAAAAAAAAAAAAAAAATACCAAGGAGGTCTGGTGAGCCCACAGTTTTGGAAGCTGAGTTTCGGAGGTACTCCCACTCAGAGCATACTGCTGTGTTGCTTTATGGAGAAGCCAGCCTGCACTTACACTCCGGGAATGTGCTGAAGCTGGGGGTAACAATACAACCCCATGATGTCTTGTGCTCATCTTCCCCAAGACACTCTTATGTTCATCTGTTCTTCCATTATGCAGCGCTATACCTGGTGGCTCAGAGACCAAAGGCAGCATATCAGCAGCCTGTCTCAAGAAACGGAGGCAGTACAATAGTAACTGAGGCTAAGAACTGGAAGTGGAGGAGGAGGGAGAGAGGGGAAGGGGAGGGAAAGTAGCAAAACAGCTATTAAGCACAAATCCATGATGCATCATCTCTAATTCCAAAATCCAAAATTCTCTGAGAACCTCAAGCCTTCTCTAATTCATCTGGCAGTAATCTGACCTGACTGAACTCACATGGTGGCAGAACCTCATGTGCACAGATGTGAAGCAATTTAGAGTCTTCATTTATCCTACTTAGTGGGAACAAGCATCTGTTTTGCTGTAGAAACACTAATGTGATTCAGATAACATTACATATCTGTAGAAACACTAACGTGAATCAGATAACATTAATCCACTTGGACCTGGATTAGGACAGGAGGGAGCCACAGATCACTGGACAAGCAATGAAGCCAACAGATTATAGGCAGGACTGGCTGCTGGGGACAATACAAGCAAGTTTATAGTAAAAGCAGTTCTATACACATAAATGATGACAGGTTGTGACAAACACTGATCACATTGGACCTTCACTACAACTGTGTAAATTGAGGGCTGATATTATCCCCATTTTCACAAGGGAGGACACTGAGATCTACAGACACTAGAGGACTTATGCAGGACCCTGAACCTCCTTCCCCATCCATGTCCTTTCCACCTGGCCACTCAGCCGGTTGTGGTTAACTATCACTTATCCACAACAATAGCAAGCAAGTTGAAGTATTCTGATCACAATTTAAGTGAGTTTGCCTTTGGAATGTACCTCCGTGCTTCTAGGAGAAGATGCACTTGTCCAGTGTTTCAGGAATGCACCATACTTCATGATAAATGATGAACGCAGGAGGTGTTGGGAGCACCACAGGTGTAAGGGTTGGCTAGGGGGATGCTGCAGTGCCCCATGCTTCATCAGTCCCCTAAATCCACTCCAAATTAAAATCATGATAATGTGCTTTGATATGGAGAATGGACATTTTTCTCTCACGAAATGTGTAGATGGAGGCTCCTTTAGAGATTTTTGCCACTTTTGGCATGTTGATCTTGAACACGCAATCTACATGAAAAGTGTGCTTGTGAGCCCAAGCAACATGAAGACAAGTGCCTTGTGCTCCTCTTTCTAACCCAACCGTTACCTAATCCTCTCCCTGTGATGTTTCAAGAGCCACTCCTGGTTGGGGGCAATTCTACCTACTCCTGCATGCCATGGTGGCTATATTACACATGCTGTTTTAAAGCAACCCAATTCAGTAAGTCTTTACTGTTACTATAAGTCTAACATGAATTATAAGAAGGCAAATGAGACAAGGTTTGTCCTCAAGAAATTTACCCCAGACTAATACAAAGACATACCCAAAACAGTGGATTTCTCTCCACTAAATTCCTGATGATTCACACTTTCCCTGCTCTGTGATGATTAATAGTTATTCATTTTAATCAAAGGCAGTCTCCTAATTTGGATGTTGTCTTTTAAAAAGGGTATTTTACTCATTAAAAAAGAGAATAACGAGTAAACACAGCAATAGGTAACAAATAGGCTGGTATAAAAATAGACACATAGATCAATGAAACAGAATAAAAAACCCAGAAA